>NC_000010.11:50900671-51052186 GCF_000001405.40 Homo sapiens | reverse complement strand
ACTCTGGTAAAAGAAATATAAATCTATTCACTAAAATCATTTTTGAGAAACAATAAAATTTTACAAAATGTGCTTATTGTCTTTTATTTTTATTGTACTATAAAATTCATATGCGTTTTGCTGTAAACCATCTTCAAAATATATTTTAAATAAGCATAATTCAATAAGTCCTTTATCTTTTTTCTGTTACCAATAATAGTAACTTGCATTTTAAGTATCAATTTTTATTTATCAAAGTATTTTAATATCACTTAATCTACCCACATGTGTTAGTTAGGGTTAATATTTACTTGTGGTATTATCATCCTGAATCGATTTTTCTTAAGCCTTAGGAATGTGCTAATTTGAAGGCTTATATACAGAAGTGCAACTTTGCAATGTGAGTTAAGTGATGTTTGTTCTTCATCTAAGATGTCGCTAGGTGATAGCAGGCCAGTGTATTATGGGGAATTATAAAGGAAGTAGATTCTTAGCTTATTTAAGTTTATTTATAGACAGTAAACATTAAAGCCTAATAAAACCATGAACAATATTTTTAAGTAAAGGCCAGTTATAGCTAAACCTGAATGTACATATGTGTTAACAGATATGCTGAAGTCCTGGGATCGTGTAGGAATTACTTTGGAGAAGTCAGAGAAAAAAGATTTCTGAATGACGAAAACAAATATGATTGGCAAATAGGAAAGAAGGGAGTACATTTTATTGATAAATGAAGTAATGGGTCAACTGATCTTCAACAAGGGTGCCAAGAATAATAAATGGGGAAAGGATAGTCACTCAATAAATGCTACTGGGAAAACTGAATATTAACATGCAAATGAATAAAATTGGACCTTTATCTTGCATCATACGAAAAATCAACTCAAAATGGATTAAAGGCTTAAATGTAAAACATGAAGTGATAAAACTCTTAGAAGAAAGCATAGGGGAAAATCTTCTTAACATTGGCCTTGGCAATGATTTCTTGGATGTGATATTAAAAGCACAGGCAACAAAAACAAAAATAGACAAGCAGGATTCTGTCAAACTGAATACCTTCTGTACAGCATAGAAAACAATCAACAGAATAAAAAGGCAACCTACGTAACAGGAGAAAATGCTTGCAAACCATTTATCTGATGAGGTGTTCATATCCAAAATATATAAGCAAATCCCATGACTCAAAAGCAAAAAAACAAAAAACAAAAAATAAAAAGTGAGCAAATGAGCAAAGGACTTGAAGAGACATTTCTTCAAAAAAAGACACACAAACGGCCATGAAGTATATGAAAAGGTATTCAACATTAATCATCAGGGAAATCCAAATCAAAACCACAATGAGATGTCACTTCACATCTGTTAGAATGACTATTATATTAAAAAATAGATAACAAGAATTGGCAAGGATGTGACAAAATTGTAACCCTGTTGGTGGAAATGTAAACTGGTGCAGCCACTATAAAGAACAGTTTAGAAGTTCCTCAAAAAAATAAAAAATGGAACTACCATATGATACAGCAGTCTCACCTTCTGGGTATATAGCCAGAGGAACTGAAATCAGGATCTCAAAGAGATGTCACCACGTTCATGTTTATTGCAGCATTATTTACAATAGCCAAGACATGGAAGCAACCTAATATCCATAGATGGATGAATGGGTAAAGAAAATATGGTGTATACATACAATGGAATATTATCTAGTCTCTGAAAAAGAAGGAAATGCATTGCAACAACATGGATAAACCTGGAGAACACTATGCTAAGTGAAATAAGACAGTCATAGAATGAGAATACTATGTGATCCCACTTTTATAAGGAATCTAAAATAGTCAGATGTGTAGAGGCAGAGAGTACAATGGTGGTTGCCAGGGGTTGGGGGAGGGGAAAACAGGAAGGTATTAGTCAAAGGGTACAAGGTTTTAGTTATGCAATATGAATATGTCCTAGAGGTCTAGAGGCGCAGAATAGTGCCTATAGTAAACAATACTGAACTGTATACTTAAAACTTTGCTAAGAGGATAGATATTATGTTAAATATCCTTATCACAAAATAAAATACATGATAGAATATGTTAGTGTTTTCAAGAGAAAACATGTAGAAGACTATTCTTTTGGGATGGAGAACAAAATAATATGTAGAAAATATAAAATCCATTGAAATGGGAGAAGCAATTGGCAGACAATTTCCATTGACCTGAATTTAATGACAAGCAAGGAAACTGGAGTTTCCACACGCTTCCATAAATGGAAGTGGTATTCTTACCTGAGCTCTAATTTTATGAAGCCTACAATTTATTACAATGTTTGCAACCTAGAATACCCATGCCATGCATATGGGTACTTTCGGATTTTATTTTAATGTTCATAAAGCAAGAATTATTACAAAATAAAACCTTAAATATATTGAAATGGACAATACACAAAAACCCATACCAACTAGAATCAGTAATTATATGTTGGGCATAAGACCCTGTGAAGGTGTCACTAGGTGGTAAAATACATAACACAAAACATAGAACTTTTTATTAGTAGTAGCAGTAGTAGTAGTTGCAGCAGCAAAAACAGTCATTTAAATATCTTTCTATATGGTTGTTTTCAGCTTAAAAGTTAAATCAACCTAGCAGGCAACTGTGCCCATCTAGAAAACTTAGCACTTATATTAAGTTAAACAAGCTATACAGGAGAAAAGTGTGAATAAATGAATATTGTTCTCAGAAAAGCAGGGGAATGAAAAAGAGTGACATAAATGGAGGGAATAATTCCCCCAAATCAGTAGCTTTACTCAAATACTCTGCATTAAAAATTGTTTCCTCATTAGCCTGAAAAAATACATGAATTACAACGCCACACATTGTTATTCACACTCAAGTGGCAGTTATGAGAGTATTAATTTGTGCACATTCCTAAGTGTGGTTTAGGTATTAGATAGTTATTAAAGATATTCACAAATATATCAAGTCTCTCTCTTCCTAGGCACATGGTAAAATAGCATTTCCCTACCTGCTCAAACTCAGCACAGCCACAGGATTCTATTTGGCTGTTAAAAATGAGCAGCCATGACTTGTGATGTTTCTGGGCAGAGGCAGTTAATTGCCGGTGTGGGACGCGGGAGCTCTTCCTTTCCCGGCCCTGTCAGTCATGGCAGCATGCATCTACACAGAGCCTCTGTCAGCTTGGTTCATGAGCAACGCCCCAGCAAACCCACAATGGGCAGGTGAGGAAGAAATAAATCTTTACTCAGTTCTAGGCCACTGAGAATTTAGGACTGTCTGTTACCACACCCAAGCTTAGCGTTATTGACTGACATGCGGTGCATGGTAACAGCATTACAGACTTGTTTAGAAAAAAAAAAAAGTCACTATACTCCCTCTTCTTAGTTTGGACTTATTTTCTCAGTTCAGTCATTCCCTGGAAGGTGTACACATACTACTGAAGTAAATTAACCATCACTGTTGGCCACTTGTCTAGTGGAAATTATTACTCTCTTTTGGAAAGTAGTGATTTGCAAGCGTTGACTTATGTCTAATTGAATACTAATGCTTTTAGTCTCTTGAACCAAAGACTAGTAGTTCCCAGCTAATGTAAGGAAAGCAACTTTTCCCACAGAAAGATCCACATGAAGCTTAATACCATTTGGGAAGTGGGTGTAGTTGCACCATTGATTTGAAGCTCAAATCATATAAACGAAGATTTTTTGCAGACTCTTGAGACACTGATAAAGAATTAATCAGAGAAACTAGCCCACAACATGGAAAACAGTGCTAGTGGGATTTGGGTTACTTTATTATTGTTATACTCTTTGTAGAATAGATACAAATTTAAATGGAAGAGTAATTGAACAATGGTGTTAAAATACTATACAAGCACAAGGAAGAAAGGGAGGGAGGGAGAAAGGGGGAGAGAGGAAGGAGGAAAGAGAGGGGAAGTAAAAGAAAGAGGGAGCAAGAAAGGGAAAAAGAAAATAGAGAGACAGACAGAAAGACAGGAAGAAAGGAAAATAGGAAAGAACAAAGGAAGAAGGAAGACTTGTTAGTGTTCTAGTCCAAAAATATAGAAATAATGGGAAAGAATGAGGTTTTGAAGTGATATGCAAGAATCGACAAAGAATAGCAGGGCTGCATGAACTCTGAAAGACAGCAGATGGCTCTATGTGCTATGAAAACTAAGTATTAATATCACAGGCCACTTCTGGCTATTTCAGGCTCTAGAGAACTCTCTTTCATCCTTCCTTATGCCCTGTAGATCATGGTTCACAAACTAACATGACTACAGGAACCGCAGAGATATTATCAATCAATAAAGCAGGCCAAGCATGTTATTTTATACTTTCCTTGTATAGTAAATGCCTAAGAATATTCCTCACTTTTATAAAAAAATATATACTCTTGACCTTCTTGGTATATCTTGTTTTTTTCATTTTTGATAGAAAATATTGTTTCTGCTGTAACAAATATGGCAAGCACAATGCTGAATGCCAACTGAAACTTGGCCCCAGGGATGATAGGGAGTGGTGGGGATTGCCTGAAGATGACTGTCATGGAGGACTGAAGTCTTGTGATGCAACATCTCCTCTTTTTTTTTTTTTTTTTTGGAAATAATAACAGATATGGTTTTGTGTTAAGTCTGTCACCTTTAAATTACTACTCAATTTTTTTCAAAATGTCAAAAACATACACAATAAATCTGTAAGCTCAATTTATCTCATGGATCAACATTCCATCTCTCCTATCCTTCTTTCTGGAAAACTGACCTAGGCTACCCATCTACTCAACAAGTCCAATCCATCAACATGGATTTCACATGATATGACAGGCAACAAGCTACGTGTTTTGCAAAATGTATCTCATTTGTTCCTCACAAAAACCTCATAAGTACAGACAAGGAAACTGGGGCTTACAGAATGTAAGTAACTTGCTTTAAGGTCAAAGTAAGTGGTAGAATTGGGATTCAATCCCTGGTGGAATCTAGCTCTTTAACCATTATGCTCCATTGTGTTTTGCACATGGCTTAAGTGCCTAGCCCAGACTACAGACCTTGAGGCTCTCACCTTTGGATAGTACCAGCTAAAAGACCAATAAGTGACCACAAAGAAGGAAACACTCTACAATGCACGTGAGAAAAACGTGTATTTCCCTTTCACTGTTTTCTTTACTTAAATATTCTGGCCTAGTTTTACAGAAAGAATATTACGTTGTTATTCCATTTTATCAAAAATGTCAGAAAAAGAACATGGATATTTCCGGTTGTGTTCTGAGCACCCGACTCATCCCATGAGCATCTGCTCCATCCAAGCAGCCTGACATTTTCAATGAAAGCATATTCCAAGCGTGCTCCAAGATGAGAACTGCCAACTAGAGGCATGAATCACCCGACAGTATTAAGAGTACTTAATATTCTCCAAATCTTCTTAGCATTCTGCAAAGACTCCATCATGCCTAATAGCAGTTTGTGCTATCTGCCTGAGTTGACACATGTATTCCACCCATGGGTTTTGACTGACAAAAATCCCAGAGGTTAAATACAGAAAACTTTTTCATTTCCGCTGGTCTGACAGTCCCTCGATGTGTAGTGAACCTTGCAGAAGCCTCTGTTTAAGACCTGTCGTCTCTCTGCAAAAGCGACAGCTCAAGCCTGTGCAAACCGGAGACGTAATGCCAAAGGAAAAATCGTTGTTTTCTTTCCCAGGAAAGATTTATCTCAAATCTCTGGCAATAACCTGATTTTCATATTGATACTAACCTAGGCTTTCTTCAGAGTCAAATGAAGATTTATGTTTCATAACACTTATCAAGAAAATGCCCTAACAGTATGCCAGCACTGCCTTCTCTTCTAGATTCCACCCAGAATGTATCTCCTCTACCAAGAGAAGTACCACAGGAGGACTGGGATCTCAGGCTCAAAGCCTCCATCATCAAGTTCCACATACAGAGGTCTCTCAAAGCAAGTCAGTCAAATATCTGGAATGTACTTACTTGGTTGGTTAAAATTACTAAACCCATTGATGGAGAAGACGAACAAGCATAATCAAGGTTAATTCAACCAAGGTTCCTATGTAAACAATTGTTACATACTGGAAGAAGTTTTCACATGCTCTTACTGTGCAAAAATGTTGGCTTCAGTGGTTACATTTCTAAGGCTGGGTGTAGACCCTGGCGCTATCTACTAACTTTGAGGAAAGCTTAGTGTCTGTCTCTGAATTACATTGCTTAGTAAAAGAGTAGCTTTAGTGCTTATGTGGCCATATGGTGTTTTACAACATTTCAACATTAGTGATATTCATTCTAGCCTTAAATGTGAAGAAAAAGTAAACTATCAATTTTTTGATGATTTAAAATTATGTATTTAAGTTATAAATAAATTAGTCTATGAGGAAATTATTAAGTTATGTATGGTTAAGTGATTTAATGAAGATTTTGAATCCTTTCTGGCTATAATTATAAAGGCTAAAATAAGGTAGAAAATATTTTATGACATAACATTTAGTTTAAAAAAGATAAACACGAAGTTTTATGGTGATTACGAGCACAGTTGTGGAAATGTACATGTGCATATGGACAAGGACAGGAAAAAACTTGGATACTAAAAATAGTTCCTTTGCAATGGTAAGATTTACAACTTTAAAATATTTTCAAGGTGGGCGGATCACCAGAGGTCAAGAGTTCGAGACCAGCCTGGCCAACATGGTAAAATCTCATCTCTAGTAAAAATACAAAAAGAATTAGCTGGGTGTGGTGGCACATGCCTGTAGTCCCAGCTACTTGGGGAGGCTGAGGCAGGAGAATCGCTTGAAGCCAGGAAGTGGAGGTTGCAGTGAGCCAAGATCGCACCACTGCACTCCAGCCTGGGCGACAGAGGGAGACTCCATCTCAAAAAATAAATAAATAAATAAATAAATAAATATTTTTTTCTATGGTAGTTCTAAAACAGGCATTTTATTTGAAATGTATGTATATAATTAAAATAAAAGATTGCCTGATATAATTCAGTCTAATAGTGTTCAAATTCAGATTTCTAGCAGTTTCTAAATGTGACCTAGAAGGACTTTTTGATCGCTCCTGTTAATTTTACTATTTATTTCACCAAGCAATAAAAGTAAGTAAAAGTAAATGTATTAAAAGTGTTTTAAGAGACAATTTTCTTCCAAGAATAAAAATGTCTACCTTTTAAGACAACATAGTTTCCTTGCCACACAAACAGCTACCAAATACATGCACTAAAATATCATAGCACAGCCTAATAAGTTCCTCAACTGTTCTTTGGAAGCAAGTAAGCTAAATCCATCCCCAGACATTTGGCTTCCAGGACTCCTTTTAAAAGAAAAAGGCATCATGATAAAACACTCAAACTCAATCCAGTTTTCAAAGTATTTCCTTGAAGTAAAACAATTTAGGATTTTCTTAAGGGTTATCACTTTGGAGGAGAGTGGGATGATTAGAAATAATAGAAGAAGGGCTCCTATCACTCTCCCCACCTAGCCCAACACTTCCTAAGGTGCTATGACAGCTTGACATCCATCTGTGATGGACCCAAGGCACCACAGCCTGCCTTGCCTCTCAAAGGAGGGGAGTCTATAAGCTATGTGGTGTGGAGAATAAAGCCCTCCTGCCCTCTACTCCCTCCTCCAATAAAAAAAAAAATTTCCTCTACCTACTAAGCTCTGAATGATAAAGCTTAAGGTTATTTTTTTGATGTAAGAATTTGCTATAACTTTTTTAAAGGGATAGCGACCAAAAGAGAGGAGGAAGGTCTTCCAAGTGCATGAGTTGCTTCAGTGCCTGGTCTCACTTTCCCCCTTCCCTTCCTCCTCCTTTGATGTTTAATCAAAGGATTCATCACAATTCTGGCATCTCCCATATCCACAGGAATATCTTTACCAAAACTCTTCCGTGAAAGCAAGGTCTTCAGTCACCTCATCCCCATGGCCTTCACAAGACCCAGTTTAGGCTCATCTACCCACACAGAGTCTAGTGAGGGGAAGCACTGGGGCACATAATGAGGTCTGAAAGATCCAGAACTACGGAAAAAAAGATGAAAGATATAAGAGTGAGTGTGTTGGTCTTCTCATTTGAGAAAATGGAAGTCATGGAGGATTAATGTCTGTCACCTGTACTACTTCAACTTTGTGACTTTGACCAAGTGATTTAACTTCTCCATATCTCAGTCTCATCATCTGTAAAATAGACAGTATTTTCTTCTTAGGGTTATCATGAGGATTCAATGAGTTAGTACCTGTGAAGCACTTGGATAAAGGTTTGGTATAGAGAAAAGTTTAGCTAGTGTTCCTCAGTACTGCACATAACTGAGCAGTCCCATCACGGGACCTTTGAATACCAGAACTGTCAGCAATCTAGAACTCTAGATATGCTCTCCCCATCCAATGCCATTGTCTTTATTCTCCCTTCCCAGAGAAATTTCAACATTCACTCACTCATACACCAAAATATTTATCAGGCTCAGACTACATTCCATGTACTGTGCTATGGGATAAAACAGTGAGAAAAAAAAGCAAACAGATATTGACCTGTTCTTGTGGAGTTTGTGGTATAGGTGGTTAATCATTATAATCACAATATAATGGAGGAGCTGCTTAGAGTAAGAAAAGTACTATGGCCTGTGGTTCCTGCCCCTTACAGTCTGATGAGGAGACAGACCATTACTAGAAATTGTCATATTGTATAATAATTGCTACTACAGGATTAAATAAATAATGCTATAGAAGCCAAAAGGATGACTATAGCTTACTGTAGGTTGGAAGGTGTGTAGTCATGGAAATTTT
The DNA here is from genome assembly GCF_000001405.40 of Homo sapiens. Lineage (NCBI taxonomy): Eukaryota > Metazoa > Chordata > Mammalia > Primates > Hominidae > Homo > Homo sapiens. The sequence continues at coordinate 51,043,431 of NC_000010.11, read as the reverse complement.
CCAGAGGTGATAAGATGCAAGGTGAGACCTGAAGAATAAGCATATATGTGTATATGTGTGTGCTTTGGGGGGCACGGCACAGGAATAAATTTATCATAATTACCTTATGAAACAGGTATTCATTCTGCAGTGGTGAAACCTTCAGATTATCCACTTCAGAACACAAACACTTATTCCCCAGCTGCTGGGAGTATTGGTGGCTGATGGATCTCAGTGGAGTCCCTCTTCAGGACCTGCCCTCCCCGTAAGACAGTACCCTCACTCAAGGTCACCCTGGCTTTCCAAGGTCAGCCTGCATCCCATGACTGCTCAGTAAGGAAGTATAAAGGCTCAATCCCCTTGTCCCTTGTCTTAGTCTATTGGGGATGCTATAACAAAATACCATAAAGGGAGTGGTTTATAAACAACAGACATTTATTTCTCACAGTTCTGGAGGCTCAGAAGTTCAAGATTAAGGCATAGGCAGGGTTTGATAACTGGTGAGGACCTACTTCCTGGTTCATAGATGGCCATCTTTTCATTGCACCTTCACGTGGCAGAAGGGACAAGGGAATTCTCTGGGATCTCTTTTATAAGGGTATTAACCCCATTCCTGAGGGCTCCTTCCTCATGACGCCACCTCCAAATACCATCACATTGGGAGTTAGGATTTAACATATGAATTGTGGGGGACAAAAACATCCAGTCTAGAGGACCCTTATTCCAGCACTCTGCAGAGCCATCCCAAGTCCAGTGTCTCCTATAGGACTGGTGGCAAGGCAGGCTGGCATCTTGCTCTCTCAAAGCCTCCTTTCTTCTCTGTTCCGCGGGTGACAGATCTTAGTGGAAATTCTGACAGCACTCCCTAATAAAGTTCTTGCATGCAAATCTGTAGCAACATTCTCTGTTTATTAATTTAAAAACCAAACTTGGAAAGGTTAAGTAACTTGTTGAGGATACGACAGTATGGCTCATTCAGAGAAATGAAAGTAGCTCAGTTTGGCCAAAGCCCAGAATTTGAAGGTATAAGAGGCCAAAGATTATGCCTTAAAGTACATAATAGGTCATAATAAGAAATTAGGGCATTACCTTGAGGTAGTGGGAAATATCAGAAGTGTTGACTAGGACTGAGATGGTTAACTTGTCCTTTAACATGACAAGTTAGAACACTGTAAGCATATTTTTACTGCGTGAAAGCATTTTCTTACGAGAGAGAGGTTACCAGGGGTTTTTTAATCTGACTAATGCTTTACTACTCACCATTATTTTAAGGGTCCAAGACCAGGAGGAGGTGTGAGAGTTGTAAGTAAAGAGGAAGAGAAGAACACCTCAGAGACTGAGAGGGTGGAGAGTTCCTGTCAAAATGAGCTGGGCTTACAGGTGTGTGCAGAAAGAAGAAAACCTCTACCTCCTCCATTTTACTTTGCTGGCTCAGAGGACATGGTCTAAGCATGGAGACTCAGGTTCAGGCAGGGTGTGCTCCCTGTCCTCTTTTACTGTCCCACTCAATAACAAGTACCTTGACTGTAAGTGAGCTTAAGTGCTTGAAAACTCCCAGACTTGCAGACTTCAGTTACTGTCTTGCAATGATTGTATATACTGGAGGTATTCTGTATTAAAAACATTAACTTATTCAAAGCAAACTAAGATAGGTTACACCACTCCTCATAACCATGCCCTTTCTCAGTAACATTCTGATTTCCTCCATAAAAAGGCAGAGTATATTTCTTTGATGTAAAGAGGACTTTGTCTTGCAACTTGGATACGAGCTGAGCCACAGTAGGACAGGACACCAGGTAGAGTCCTGGGGTCCCATTCCAGGCCCTAATTCCAGGGCAACATTTCTAGATACACCTGGGCCAGAAGGGAACCTACTGCCTTAAAGAGAAGGTCCTACTCCTGGCAGTATCCATCACCTGCTGGCAAAAGAGCCACTGGATCCTGAATAATCAGCAATGGTAGCCAGGCTGTACCCACCACGGGCCTTGGGTGAGACTCAGACCTATGCCAGCTTCAGGTGTGACCCAGCACATGCCCAGCCGTGGTGGCTATGGGGACAGACTCCAACTTGAGAAAAAAGAGAGATAAAAATACAGGGGAATTTGTCTTGCAGCTTGGGTACCAGCTCAGATACAATGGGGTAGAGCACCAAGCAGGCTCCTGGGGTCCCCGATTCCAGGCTTTGGCTTCTGAATGTCATTTCCAGACCTGCCCTGGACCAGAAGGGAGCCCACTACCTGGAAGGGATACCTAGAGCCTGGCATCATTCACCACAAGCTGATTGAAGATCCCTTGGGCCTTGAATGAACATCAGTGATAGCCAGGCAGTGCTCACTCCAGGCGTGGGGTGGTGGTGGCCACAGGGAGAGACTACTCTGCTTGAGGGAAGGGTAAGGGTGGGAAAGACTTTGTCTTGTTGCTTGGGTGCCAGCTCAGCCACAGTAGAAGTCCTAGCTAGAGCAACCAGACAAGAGAAAGAAACAAAAGGCATCAAATTGGAAAGGAAGAAGTCAAATTATCCTTGTTTACAGATGATATAAACTTATATGTGAAAAAAACCTGAAGAATCCAAAAAGGTGGATTCTATACAAAAAAGAATCCACCAAAAAACTATTAGGACTGATAAATTCAGTAAAGACGCAGGATACAAAACCAATATACAAAAATCAGTAGCATTTCTATATGCCAACAGCAAACAATCTGAAAAGAATACAAGAAAGTAATCCCATTTACAATAGCTACAAATAAAATTAAACACCTACGAATTATCTTAACCAAACAAGTGAAAGACCTCTACAATTAAAATTAAAAAACGCTGATGAAAGAAATTAAAGAGGCCAGGTGTGGTGGCTCACAACTGTAGTCCTAGAACTTTGGGAGGCCTAGGTGGGTGTATCACGAGGTCAGGAGTTCAAGACCAGCCTGGCCAACACAGTGAAACCCCATCTCTACTAGAAATACAAAAAAATAGCCAGGTGTATTGGAGGGCACCTGTAATCCCAGCTGCTCGGGAGGCTGAGGCAGAATAATTGCTTGAGCCCGGAAGGCGGAGACTGTAGTGAGCCGAGATTGCACCATTGCACTCCAGCCTGGGTGACAGAGCAAGACGCCATCTCAAAAAAAAAAAAAAAAAAAAAAAAAGAGAAAAAGAAAAAAAAGCAAGAAAGAAATTAAAGAGGTCACACACACACACACACACACACACACACACACACACACAAATGGAATGGAAAGATATTCTGTGTTCATGGACTGAAAGAATCAACATTGTTAAAATGTCCATACTACTCAAAGCAATCTATGGATTCAATGCAATCCCTATCAAAATACCAATGACATTCTTCACTGAAATAGAAAAAACAATCCTAAACTTTATACGGAACCATAAAAGATCCAGAATAGCCAAAGTTATCTTAAGCAAGAAGAACAAAATTGGAGGCATAACATTACCAGACTTCAAATTATATTACAGAGCTATAGTAACCAAAATAGCATGATAACTGGCCTGAAAACAGACACATAGACCAATAGAACAGAATAAACAATCAAGAAACAAATCCATACATCTACAGTGAATTCGCTTCCGACACATGCATCATGGAAGAACAATCTCTTTAATAAATGGTGCTGAGGAAACTGGATATCCATATGCAGAAGAACAAAACTAGACCCCTTACCATATAGAAAAATCACATCAAAATGAATTAAGGACTTAAATGTAAAACCTCAAACTATGTGACTACTAAAGAAACATTGGGAAAACTCTCCAGGACACTGGTCTGAGCAAAGATTTCTTGAGTAGTACCCCCAAAGCACAGGCAGCCAAAGCAAAAATGGACACGTTAAAAGACAAAACAAACACACACACACACAAAAACTTCTCCACAGCAAAGGAAACAATCAAGAAAGTAAAGACACAACCCAAGGAATGGGAGAAAATATTTTTAAACTATCCATCTGACAAGGAATTAATAACCAGAATATATAAGGAGCTCAAACAACTGTGTAGGAAAAAAATCTAATTATCTGATTAAAAACTGAGCAAAAGATCTGAAGAGACATTTCCCAAAAGAAGACATACAAATGGCAAACAGGTATATGAAAAGGTGCTCAACATCCCTGATCATCAGAGAAATGCAAATCAAAACTACAATGAGATATCCTCTCATCCCAGTTAAAATGGCTTTTTTCCAAAAACAGGCAATAACAAATGCTGGCAAGAATGTGGAGAAAAGGGAACCATCATACACTGTTGGTGGGAATGTAAATTAGTACAACCACTATGGAGAACAATTTGGAGGTTCCTCAAAAAACTAAAAATAGAGATACTATACAATCCAGCAATTCCACTGCTAGGTATATGCCCAAAAGAAAGGAAATCAGTATACTGAAGAGATATCTGCACTCTCTTGTTTTACTTCATTAGTAAATTGCCAGCTGACATCAGGGAAATGTTCAAGCCTGTTTTTGCATATAGGCCTTAACTAAAATGTGTTTTTCTTCTTGGGATTCTTACTCTACATATTGTGCAAACTTTAAAAAAATTGTGGGTACACAGTAGGTGTATAAATTTATGAGTTGGATGAGACATGTTGATACAAGCATGTAATGTGTAATAATCACAACTGGGTAAATAGGGTATCCATTACCTCAAGCATTTACTTGCTGTTTATTGCTGCACTATTCAGCCGAGATTTGGAAGCAACCTAAGTGCCCATCAAACGATAAATGAATAAAGAAGAGGTGGTATATACAAACAGTGAAGTAGTATTCAGCCATAAAAAAGAGCAAGATCCAGTCATTTGCAAGAACATGGATAGAACTGGAGGACATTATGTCAAGTGAAATATACCAGGCACAAAAAGATAAACTTCACATGCTCTCACTTGTTTGTGGGAGATAAAATTCAAAAGAATTGAATTCATGGAGATAGAGGGTAGAAGGATGGTTACCAGAGACTGAGGAGGGGCTTGGGAGATGGGTAAGAAATGGGGATGGTTAATGGGTACAAAAATATAGTTAGATACAATGAATAAGATTTAGTATTTGACAGCACAACAGAATGACTACAGTCAACAATAATTTATTGTACATTTTGAAATAACTAAAAGAGAATAATTGGATTGTTTGTAACACAAATAAAGGATAAATGCTTGAGGTAATAGAGACCCCATTTACCCTGATGTGATTATTATGCATTGCATGCTTGTATCAACGTATCTCATCCAACTCATAAATTTATACACCAACTATGTATCCACAACTTTTCTTAAAGTTTGCGCAATGTGTAGAGTAAGAATACTAACAAAAAGAAAAACACATTTTTGTTAAGGCCTGTATGCAGAAACAGGCCTGAACATTTCTCTGATGTCAGCTGGCAATTTCCTAATGAAGGAAAACAAACACACAAACACATAATTGGTTCTGGCCTGACATTTAGTAATTAATAAATAAAAGCACTTACTAAGTTAAAAACAATAAAGTCAAAAGTTTATAACTCCTGTTAGTTTCATACATTTCTAATTAAAATAAAGTTAATATAAGAAGGACACTCCTACTAAATTTAAAAAGTGTGAGGCCATGTAATTAATTGCCTTTGAATGTACACTTTGTAAATGCAAAATTATGAAATACTTGTGGCCTGAAATATTTTTTAATTTTTTTTTTTTTGAGATCGAGTCTTGCTATGTCACCCAGGCTGGAATGCAGTGGTGTGATCTTGGCTCACTGCAACCTCTGCCTCCCCAAGTCAAGCTATTCACCTGCCTCAGCCTCCCAAGTGCTGGAATTATAGGTACATGCCACCATGCCTGGCTAATTTTTGTATTTTTAGTAGAAATGGGGTTTCACCATGTTGGCCAGGCTGGTCTCAAACTCCTGACCTCAAGTGATCTGCCTGCCTCAGCCTCCCAAAGTGCTGGGATTACAGGCATGAGCCACTGCACCTGGCCAGTTTTTTGTTTGTTTTGTTTGTTTGTTTTTTGTTTTTTTAGAAAGGATTTCACGCTGTCATCCAGGCTGAGTGCAGTGGCACGATCACAGCTCACTGCAGCCTCGACCTTCCAGGCTCAAAGGATCCTCCCACCTCAGCTGAGTAGCTGGGACTGCAATATGCCCAAGGATGCCATACTAATTTTTTATTTTTTTATTTTTTGCATAGATTGGGGGTTGGCGGGGAGGTCTCGCTATGTTGCCCAGGCTGGTCTCAAACTCCTGGACTCAAACAATCCTCCTGCCTCGGCCTCCCAAAATGCTGGGATTACAGGTGCAAGCAACCACACCTGGCCTTTTAACTTTTTATATATCTCCTTCAGGTGTTGGTAAAATATCTTCTCTTCTTAAGGCTAAGTATTTAAATGGTTTTATTTCTATGGATGAGTGTTTTTATTTTCCACTTTCTAAATTAATCATCCAAAACATACCTAAACATAGAAAAGCCTCACTGTTCCAGAAAATTTAGAATTTGTTAACATTAGCTGTATGTCATTTCCTCATTTAACCAGAGAATTCATCCTCTCTGATATTCAGACCTGAGGAAGTGGATGCACCAATCATATGGTCCATAGTTGAATTGCAACTATTGAATGCAATAATTTAGAAACATCCCTGGCATATAGAAGGCACTCCCTAAACATTGGTTCCTTCCCTTCCCCATTAATATGTGCTAGATACACAGCTGGAATATTTTTAAACATGTCAAAACTTGGAATTGGATTATTTGAATATAATTCAGACAGTCCCAAATAGGAGCAAACACGCCCCCATTTACTTAATCCCCTAAGAGGTAAATGAAGGTTGTTTTCCTTCCCTTTCCTTCCAATAATTTTGTTTTAAAGGTCAGTGAGAATAAATGAAGCTATTGATGAAAAGCATGAAAAGAAAAGATGAGTCATTTGAAAAATTTTCACTCCCCTTCCCAGATTCTTCTCCCCTGCCCCTCAGCTCCCAGTCTCAGATCACTCCTCGATTCCCTCACTTTACTCTGCACCCCCCAGTCACCCCAAGCTTCATATCCCTTCTCCATGCTCATATCCCAGGCACACCTACCTCCAAAGAATAAACCTTTATATGAAATTTCAGAATGGGTTTTTTAGCATTATCCTATGAAAGTAATACCTGTCATTCATCTGTTCAACAAATATACATTGAATACCCTTTACCAGCCAAGCAGTATACTTCAAACTAAGATTGAAATGGTAAAAATACATAGGGTCTCTTTTTTCATGGAGGATGTTGACTGATGAGGAGAAAAAGAGGAAAAAACAGAAAAACCTAATGACATAGGTAGGCTCTGTAGTAAGTTAAGCACACAATAGTATGGAAGCACATTGGCAGAGGCAAGGGGACAGCAAGGAGCATGTCAGTACTTAACTACAGTGATTTCAATACAAAGGCATAAAATGGGATACGATTGAAATGTTCAAGAATAAACATGGGATAACTTGTATCATATGTTTCAGAAGACTATGTAATTACCTGGACAAATATGAGTTAAATATTATTGAATTAAAAGTAGGCTACCAAAAGTAGTGTTTATGATTGTCTTTCTGAAAATAAATAAATAAATAAATAAATAAAGGTATGTACTCATGGATAAACAGTAGAAAGACATATAAGAGAATGTTAATGGTTATTGCTAGATAATAGGGTTATAGGTGATTTCAATTTTTTAAGCTTGTAGTTTTTTTAAGCTCCGTTGTTTCCAAATGATCCACAAGTGCATGTAATAAGTTTATAATTTAGTAAAGGTATATTTTTAACTAAAAGTATTTTTTAAAAAAGAATGTATCTGAGCAATTCACATATATCAGATGCCTACTGTGTATAAAGGATTGCGCTAGGTGCTGAGGCTACAGAGCTAAGTAAGGAGCGCTCTGTGTCCTTGAGCAGGTTATAGCACTGGAATGCAGGCATGCAGGAAATACCTGCCAGTCAGGTATCACCCAGGTGTTATGTTAATAAAGCCAGGTTATTGACCTATAACTGATTTTACCCTGACACTACAACCGAGACCACAAGACAATTTAATGCTGCCTTTGTTTCTTATGACCAACAAATTATGAAATGACAGAACGTTGAGAAAAATATGCTGCTGTCTCCTGCTCTAAGATCTATAGTTGTCGGGGGAGGAAACTTAATTTTGTTAGTTACAACGTGGATAATGAAAATTTATTCAGCATGTATTTCACATAATCATCAAATAACCCTATGAATTAAACAGCATTATTATTCCTGTTTGCAGATGTGGAACTGAGGCACAGAGCAGTCAAGGTTAAGATTGCATTGCTCATCCATAAGGGAGCCAAGATTTAAATGCAGGCATCTGAACCCAGAGCCCAAACCCCATGACCGTGTATACTTTGCTGTCTCCCTTTTACGACCGTTACCATCATCTCTGATCTTTTCCCAGAATATACGTATTTTGAGAATTCCAAATAAGAACAAACCATCACAAAGAGCTCATGTTACAGAAGATTGAGGGCAATAGCCTGAGGGCAAGGTTAATGTTCTCAGCACCTTAGCACAGGCCTGAGACATGTGAAGCCTCAATAAGTAATTTGCTAAATGAATGATCCAGAAAGCAGGTTCATTTTTGAAGCTTCCCACTCCCAATATCAGTCTTTTGTCCTACTGTTTTCTAACTTTTTCTAAAAATTAGGTACAGAATGGGGAAAGATTTAACTAATAGTTTCAATATATTTTTTTCTGAATTTTCTACAGCAATTTTACCGTAATTTTTAAGGCATATATATATATATATATATATATATATATATATATATAAATAACATATTATATATAATTTTGCTTATTTGATTGTTTAGGGCAAAAAAGTTGTGAATTCTAAGTATAAATTCCTCTATTTAGTGTATACAGCAATTAGAATATTTTTTGAGTTGGGATAAATTTAATTGGAGAATTATGACAAGTCAATTTTATGAATTTTGGACAAAACTAAATTGCCATTGAAAGACTGTAAAAATTAAGGTTTTTATGAAAAATAGACATGGATAATTTTATGTTTCTAGAAATGGCAGAATTGCTGACACACACTGTGAAGTGCATGATAATATTCTGTCTGTCTCACAGATTAATGGAAATTACCAACAAACTACTTATTATTCATTGCCTGAGGAATAAAGATATCAACTCACTTCCACTAGTTCCTGTCCTGATGCACTCTTCAACTACAGCTCAAAAACTGAGCAAGGATCACATTTTTAAACTCAGATGAAAAAGCAATTAAAGTATAGAGAAATACATTGTGAGTCTTAATCTCTAAGTTCATGAAGAGTGCTTGCCACCTAATAAAAATATTTAAAGCAAATTAATAACTGTAATGTCCAAATGTGATTTCTTACACGTTTCACTGATTAATAATTGTATCTCTTTTCTTCTATCTGAATTCTAATCATTTGAATTCTAATCATCTAGAGGCATCTCATTGTCTCTGGTGTGAGGCATGCTGTGGCCTACATAATATTCAAAGTGACTTAAAGAGAAAAGGAACCCTCAGAAGATTTAAATCTTAAAGGGACAACAGAGATAGTGAGAGGCATAAAAACAAATGAACAAACTTGAAATAAGAGCAAACACTGCAGGATATAATGCAATGGAATGCTGAAATACCATGAGTTGAGGGTATTTACTTTCTTTTTTCCTCCGTGTCCTCAATTAGCTTAGATTAAAAATGGCCTTTCTTCTGCAAACATAGCTCTCTGGATGACAGGTATTTTCCACAGTAATTTTCATCACTAATGCTTGGGAATCATACCTTTTAAGACATGTGATTTAAACATAACTCTTCACTCCGAAATGTGTCTAGAGGGCCGTGTGGTAGATACAACACATATTTATTGGATACATCCCATGTGTATAGCAGTGCCTAAATTGGCCAACCTAAATGTCATTATCCTGACATTAAGGGATGAAACTGATTCCTGTTATTCAAAGATAAGTATAAAACAAAGCAGTGTGGGAAAGGGTACATGTCCTATAGTGAGACTGACTTCAAATTGTGGCTCCATCACTTACGACTTACTAGCTGTGAGACACAGCATTTACCTTTCCTCTCCAACCTCAGTTTCCTTAGAAAGATAGATTAGGGTAATGGCTTGCCCAGTAAGCTTTCAATAAATGTCTTCTATTATTACTATTTTGAAGGGTGCCTATATCAGGAATGGAAATAAGGTGCCCTGTTGTGAGGACATGATGGGGTGGGCATTTCATACTTGAAGGAGGGAAGCACGTCCAAATGAAGATGTCCTATGAGTAACTGGACATAGGAGACTGAGGCTTAATAATCAGAACTGTAGTTATGTCTGGAGATAAGGGAATATAAGCTTTGAGAAGGATGAGCATTCTAAGACAGGGAATACAGAAAGTCATGGAAGTTAGGGGACAAGAAAAGAAGAAAAAAAGCAGAGTAGTTAGGGAAGTAATTAGAAACTGTAGTAGAAATAAGATACGTCGGCATAGAGAATGGATATCCCATTCTTCATGACATGATTATTTCACATTGCATACCTGTATCAAAACATCTCATGTACCCCCAAAATATATACATCTACTATATACCCACAATTTTTATTTTTAAAAATAAGAAATTAAAAAAAATTTCAATAAGAAAGCTTAGAATAAACACACATATGCACACATACACATACCCCAAAATAATATTTGTTTGTTTGTTTGTTTGAGACAGAGTCACCCCCCCACTGCATGTAGTGCAGTGTCGCAGTCTCAGCTCACTGCAACCTCTGCCTCCCGGGTTCAAGTGATTCTCCTGCCTCACCCTCCTGAGTAGTTGGGATTAGAAGCATGAGCCACCATTCCCAGCTAATTTTTGTATTTTTAGTAGAGACGGGGTTTTGCCATGTTGGCCAGGATGGTCTCGAACTCCTGACTTTAAGTGAACCACCTCCCTCAGCTTCCCAAAGTGCTGGGATTACAGGTGTGAGCCACCATGGCTGGCACCAAAATAATATTTGTATATTACATTGAACACATGCATTATCTTCATTGTCTGTGGAAATAAAATCTATTAAATTAAAGTTCAGAAGTTTAAAAAATCGACAAGGGCAAAAAAAAAAAGATGAAAGAGGAAATAATAATAGCAGATGAGAGTTGCCAAGAGACCTTTGGGGGTTAAAATTGGAGAAGTAGAGCTGAGACTGTCAATACTAAATACCAGCAGAGGGGTGGTGCCAATGAGCTGCAAGTCACAGATCCTCAGAGAGGCAGGAATTGGAGACAACAGGTACACATGATCCTGGCAGCCTGTTGTCTCTCTGCTGAGTTCCAAGGACACTGGCAGCTGCTTCAGGAGCCTGGAATGTTCTTCTCAGCACACACTGAACAGCTGGAAGATTTCCCAAGAAAACCTGCAGTTCCCCCCACTCAACTTCAGTGAAGCAGAACAATTTTAATGTTTTTCCTATACAGAGCATCCAACCAGCTTTGAGATAAATATGCTTCATATAAATGATATGCTATATTGCTCAATAGGCTTAACATTTCTTTAGGCTTTCTTGTTTAATTGAAAAAACACCTAAAATCACAGGTTCATTTCTTAGTTCAAGGTTTCACAGTGCATAATTTCTGCTTAACATAACTGGCATATTTCTATTCATATGATGAGATATATAATAAACTGTGATATGTTATAATCCTGCGTGAACAAGAAAAGAGCATGGGAAGGCATCAGGTGGACTTGCATTTTGACCACATACTGGTCTTGTGATCTTGGATAACTCATGTAACTTCTCTGAGCCTTAATTCTATCCATAAAATTGTGTCACAGTATTTACTTCATAGGGCTGATATGATAAAAACAAGATACTGCATGTATACAGTAAAGAGCAATATGCTTGATGCACACTGGCCACTCAATAAATACGTTTCCTTCTTCCTCATTCTTTCCCATTCACCTCCTGCCCTCTGCTCCAATCCTTGGGTCTAGATAATAAATAATATCTATTTAGAGACTCTTGGTTTAAGACCATTCTAAAGCATTTGTTGAGAAGCTGCCATCTCTTTGTCTTTCTGCTAGATTCTTTGGTCTATCGCCAAGGTCTATGAAAAGTGGCTTGTCCTCCAGAAAATTTAAATTTAGTTGAGAAAACCAACATTGTCACAAATTTAAGAGTTACAGCTTGACCTACTTTGCAAACAGGGTAAATATGCCTCTATATATGAAGGGCCTAGGAGATTAATGTTAATAACCTTTTATCCACCCTCTGTGAATTCCAATCTACCACCTAGAAATTTGTTAGACATAAGACTGAATTCTAAAGGGAAAATTTAGAAGATTCATCAATGAATACTTTTGAAAATGCAAATAGAGTCAAGATTGATCTTTTCCAGACAATATAATCTGTGAAGGTAGGAAAGCACTCAAGAAACTAGGTGACCTCTTGAGTCCTTTCTCCATAGGAATCTCTAACTAGTAAAAAAATTAAAATCAGTGAATCAAATGGGACCTTCTGAAACTGAGAGGTAGTTTTGTTAGTCCATTTTGTGTTGCCATAAAGGAATACCTGAGGCTGGGTAATTTATAAAGAAAAGAGGTTTAAATGGCTGATGGCTCTGCAGGCTGTACAAGAAGCATGGCACCAGCATCTGCTTCTGGTCAGGACTTCAGGAAGCTTTTAATCATGGTGGAAAGGCAAAGGGGAGCCGATGTATCACATGGTGAGAGAGGGGGGTTTTTCAGGCTCTTTAAACAACCCGCTCTGGCATGACCTAATAGAGCAAGAACTCATTACTGCAAGGATGGCACCAAGCCATTCATGAAGGATCCCCTCCCATGACCCAAACACCTCCCACTAAGCCCCACCTCCAAAATTGGGGATCACATTTCAACATGAGATCTGGAAGGGACAAATATCCAAACCATATCAGTAATCCATCTGAAAATTTTGCAAATATGTTTCTTTCTTTGGTTACAGAGAATGAGTTGCATCAGGAAGCACTTTCTATCAGAAAGAATTTAAGCAAATTCTAACAGACAAGTAGTCCTTTGGAAAAAAATCTGATTCTTTGATCAATTTCTTCTCTGATTTTATAATTCATTATAATTTATGTGATCCCTTAGTGTATCAGGCAAGTGAAAACGTGACAATGATTCACATATTTAGATATTTATAATTCTTTTAAATAATATAGTGCTATTTTTTGAAAAAGAAGAACTTTTCTCTGACAGTTATAAATTATAGATAATTTATCAAAAGGCTTATTATGAAAAAAAACAGTAAATATAGTCATTGGTATTTATTTGACCCTAAAGATAAATACAGTGTTCAATTTACTATTATCCAACAGCCTTTTATTGAAAATCTACTGAAGGAAGCATCATAGAAGTATACTAAAATGCATGGAATGACTTGAATTTCTGTTTCTCTAACAGTAACAATTAATAGTTGTTTGCTATTTTCTCTATCAGAAGAATATTAATTACTTTACAACATTATCCTAATTAATCTCCAAAACAGTTCTAGGAGATAGATTTAATTATTATTATTATCGCAATCATAATCTTCCCCACATGAGAACATGTGAGAAGTTATCCTACTTGCCCCAGGTTACACAGCCAGCAAATAGGGGAGCCCTGGTTTGGACGCAGGTAATCTAACTCCAGAGCACACACTCCTACATTCGTGTAATGTTTTGCACTCATATCAAAGCCACGATTTCATTTGATCCTCACAAGAAATGGATGAAATGGAAAAGGAGCTAATTTGTTCTCAAATAAGCAAACCAAGAACAAATTTAAATGACTCATCCATGGGTACAACTTGCTCATGTCAGAGTTGGGACTGGAACCTAATTTTTGAGGTCTACTGTTATTTTATTAGGACTTGTTCCCCCAGAGCTGAATCAATCCAATGAGCACATTCCAACACATTTCCTAATGTGTCCTGCAAGATATCACAAGTTTTATGACTTCTGACATTCCGGCATGAGAAATATGGTAATAAAGGAAATGGATGAGGTGACTTTCTAAAAAAAATAGTTACAGGCTAATGACATGGACTGTTAAACTCTGGGTACTGAGACCTTTCTCAAATATAAACCATTAGGCAAAGATGAGGAGCTTCTTTCTAGAGCAGCAGATGCTGATCTGATGACACAGCCCTTGGTTATAATGACTTCATTTCTGTGATGCCAAATGAATAATACCTGTGTGATCACACTGAGTGATGAATGTTGGTGCAGTCGTGTGACCTGATCACCTCTCTGTTATTGAATTGTTGCCATAAAGGTTGAGTCTTCATTTTCCTAGCTATTATTTTGAAGCAAATTTGCCCAAAGTGAAATGGCAGCTTGTGCTTTTTGTAACCTTACACTGCAAATTTAATATCTGACACCAAGATAGAAATAACAAAATGGCTTTATTTGGTACCTTTCCATTCACACAGAGCTGCCCATGGACAAAAGGAGTGGAAGGAAGTTATCTTGTGTTCCTTGAGAGAACAGCTGTTAACTAAGCTATTGGTTATTTTTAAATAAAACTTTTATTAAAAATAAACACAGATTGGGCTTTGGATCACAGAATTAAATTTAGTAAGGCAAGTTAGTTTAGGTAACATGTTAAATTATGAGTTTATATTCTCGAATGAACAAACATCTAATGATGATAGCTGCAAAAATAACAAAAGAAATCAGACATGTTTCTAAAGAAAAATTATCCTGCCTGGTTTTGCCACTCCTCTAGAGTAGGAACTTCTAATGAGCTTCTTACTTATTTGAGCCAACAAACTTAAATCCATCCTTGGCTTGAACTCCTGGTATTTTTCTCATTCTTCTTCCCTGACAATTTCTTTGTCTTTCCACTCTGCCTCTTCCTTTCTGTTATCTGAATTTTTTTTTCCTGGCTTCTCTTCCCTGTCTTCTCCCAGCAATAAAATTAGGCAGATTATTGTAATTTTGTTGTTGTTGTTTCCCCATCTGACTGCCAAGCTCATTCTTTTCTAGAGCACTAGGCTTTCATTGAGAATACAGCCAAATCCAATCAACAGATAGTTACTGGCCAACTTACATGAAGGCACAAGTGAAAACAGCGCCACTCAACTTCACTATGGCCCTGGATTGTGACCTGATAAATCACTGGATTAAAAAACAATTTAAAGTCATTTTATGCTTTCTGATATTTAATTGTTTAATTTCATTCCTGAAAGCCAGGAGGAAAATAACCTGGGGCTTCCTCAAAGATATTTTTCATTTGGAACTCCTGCATTTAAATAAATTAGCATATCTGATTTTTAAACCAGGACATTTATATATTTTTAGGAGTAATATGGGGCACCAGAGTTATTTGTCTTTCTCAAATATTCATCAGTTTCCTCTTAGTGGTTTTGAATAACAGAAATAAGGTCACTGGAATAAAACTGCCTCACAAGAAAAAAGATCTTTCACTTTGATTGTCTCAGCCCTGCCTCAGTGTGTTTATCTATGATAAATGCCTTGTCTTTGTCTAGCATTATCTACCAGAGAGAAATCAGCTGTATATAATTATTACAACCAGGAGATTGTTTCTTTTCAGTTTGATATTTTAAAAAATGAATGGTTGTCAAAATGAGCTGACAGGGAAGACAATTAAGGGTTCCTGGGTTGCATATAAGAAACTAAGAATCTTAAACAGCAAAACATGCTGGTAATAAATAATCACTTTCCACTTGGTGTAGCACCATTTTGATCTTGTTAACATAATGATCTCTGAAAGTTGCAGTACTATTTTCCCATCTGAGAGTAACCTTGAGAAGATTTAGTAAAATTTAAGATTTTCTTACATGTTTTTAAAGCTCTATTTACCTTAATCTTTGGAAAACATTTTAAAATAGCAAGATTTAATGATAATGTTCTCAATGTGATCATTTTAAATTCCATTCAAAAATTTTTCTACACTTTAAGTTTTAGATACATCTAAACAAAACTTAAGTTAATGTTGATGAAATCATTGAAGTTCTGCAAAAGGGGCATAACAAAGAATAAGTACCAAAATTGATTATGCAACAACTTATTCCAAAAACTGCCCAATAGCCTTTAGGTGAGCTAGATAAATGGCCCATCCATTGAAAACCTATGGGATGCTAATCTTTCAAAGAGAACACTAGGTCAATATACCTTTGAGAAGTGTAGTGATACAGATATCAATTTATTTTCTCCCTTGTAACACACAGGATCAATGAGATGCTAAAGCCAGCTAATAAGATTTGTGAAGCATTCAGATTCATCAACATTTCCCCAGCAGAGTGTTGTGGAAGAATCAAAGAAGGCTGGCTTCATAGGTTTGCAACCTGGGCAGCCACACCAGAGCAGTTGGTTTGACGCTCTGCAGTCACCACCTTGAAACTCTTCATGATCTTTTAACAAGGAGCCTCACATTTCATTTTGCACTGGGATCCAAAACTTATGTAGTAAGTCCTGAGTAAGAGATTTGGATTTTTTGAGTAAGAGATTTGACAGATATAGATTTGATTATAGGTCCAGCCCTGCTTTAGTGAAATGCATACAATTTGGGTAATATATCTGAGCTCTCATTTCCTCTTTTCAAAAGCTAATCTTAATGCTTATTTTCAGAGGTGTAATAATTAAGGAAGATAATGCATATAAAATATGCAGCATGGACCCTAGCACACATAGGTGCTTAATAAATCTTAGTTCTCTGCCTTTTCCTCCACCCTATTTAATTCCCCACCATCACTGACAGCTATTACAAAGTTGTTACTGCTAGGATAAGATGTACCTTTAATTTAGTATCCTGAAGTTATCCACAACTAGCTGCTGTGACTCAAGAAGACAAAAAGGGAAAAGAGATAAAATTTAAGCCACATCTCAGCACAGAGCCTGGACCCAAGGCAGCATGAGTCAAGAGTGCTCACTTGGTGCACTTATTCCCATGAATAAAGAAACTAGGATGGCTGATTGGCACTAGGTTCCATGAACCCTTGCATTCTAAAGTGAGGTGCAAGATCATCCAGGCAGGACTTGTGAAGGGAGTGGTTTAAAATCTGTTTTGTGAGTATTAGCTGATTGTCCACCTCTAGCTAATGTAAGAGGTTGAATTTGGAGAGACTGAAAAAGAATTTATCTGGCAGTCTCTGTTCCATTTCTCCCCATGAGGGCATGAGAGAGGGGCACAGGATGTTTATTCCCCTCTGTATTAGCTTCCTAGGGCTGTTATAACAAAGTGCTACAGGGTGGGTGGCCTAAACAATAGAAATTTATTGTCTCTCAGTTCAGGAGGCTAGAAGTCCAAAATCAAGGTGTTGGCAGGGTTGGGTCCTTTTGAGAGCTGGGAGGAGGAGCCTGTTCCATGCATCTCTCCTAGCTTCTGGTGGTTTGCTGTCAATCTTTGGTGTTCTTTGGCTTGTAGACACATCACCCCAATCTCTGTTTTTATATTCACATGGCATATTTTCTGGGTGCAGTCTGTGTCCAAATTTCCCCCTTTTTATGAGGACATCAGTCATATTAGATTAGGGGCCCATCCTACTCCAGCATGACCTTGTCTTAACTGAACTAATTATAACTGCAATGACTATTTCCAAATAAGGTTTCAGTCTCAGGTACTGGGGGTTAGGACTGCAAATATGAATTTGAAGGGACATAATTCAACCCATAACCTTCCTTCAAGCCAAGTGATAAGATCTAATTTATGAGAATCAAATAATTTTGCCCATGTCTTCCATAGTTTAAAGAACTTGTGGTGCCTGAGGAGTCTAAAGCTATGCCTGGAACAGTTTCAGCCTGACGACAGAGTAGAGGTGGCTGCATCGAGATCTACTTGTTCTTCTACTGACAATAAGACAAAGGGGACCAAACTTGCAGCCAATCCAAGAAGACCACTTTGAGGGGAAAGGGACACCAGCATAGGGTCTGAGCATGACAGAGTTGGGCAGCCAATGGGAGGAGAAATGTGCCTGCATGAAGAGAGGTCCTTAAGGAGCTTCTCAGCCAGAGCCCCCAGGGGAATCTCAACAAGTGTCCAAAGCAGAAAGAGTCAGCTCTGGATGTCAGCTTCAATCAGAGGGTGTCAACATCCCATGACACCAGGACCAGCCAGTTAAATTCAGACCCTTTCCCCTGATCAGATAAAGCAGTGATTGAGTACAGGAAAAAATGACCAAGCAAAATAAAATGAGCCCACACATACCGCGCTTTCTCAATGCAACTGTCAAGCCTGATAGAGGATAAAGCTGGGGGAGGAGAAGTTTGGAATTTTGATATTTCACTATATAGGAAATTGTAATGGATTAAAATGAGGCTGTTATTGTGATTGATCAAGACTGGAAAGGTATACTATCTGCACAAGATTTCATCTAGGAAAGAGGAAGAACAAGTCTATGGAGCAAGTTTAGAAGGGAGTGGTTAGTAACAAAAAGGGGTTTTTAGCCTGCACCCAGTCCAGCTGGTCCAATCAACTGGGTAGCTGGGCTTGAGAGTGCCCAAAGTGAGCCATGGTATGGCACACAGGAGCTCAGGATTTATGGTTACTGATATGGTTTGGGTCTGTGTCCCCTGCCCAAATCTCATGTCAAATGGTAACCTCCAATGTTGGAGGTGGGGCCTGGTGGGAGGTGACTGGATCATGGGGATGGATATCCCCTTTGGTGCTGCTCTGGTGATAGTGAATGAGTTATCCCAAGATCTGGTTGCTTAAAAGTGTGTCGTACCTACCCGTTTCCCTCTCTTCCTCCTGCTCTGGCTATGTAAGAAGTGCCTGCTTCCCCTTCACCTTCTGCCATAACTGTAAGTTTCCTGAGGCCTCCACAGCCATGCTTCCTGTACAGCCTGAGATAATTAAATCTCTTTTCTTTATAAATTACCCAGTCTCAGGTATTTCTTTATAGCAATAGCAGTGTGAGAACAAACTAATACAGTTACGTAGATTTTTTTCTCAAATTATTCGATTAATCAATTTCTTCATCTAAATTTCTTCATCTAAAAAGTATCTATGCCATAGGTTATTATAAACATCAAATGAAATAATATCTAGGTCAAGTACGTAGAACTTAGTACAAGCTTAATGAACATGACTACTATCATTATGTTCATATGAGGAAGGTACAGATCCTCCCTGTGATACAGACCAGGGAGAAGAAAGAAAAATCTGTTCTGTCTACATTGTCCTTCAGTATAATTAACTCTCCATCATTGGCTATGATTTGGGCCTCAGTAAAAAAAACCGTAGTGATTACTCATATAGTTAAGAACTCATGGAAAAAACAGAAATTATTGTAAGTACTTAATTCTGACCAATACTGAGGAAGATCCCAATTTAGATTTAGAAGCCTTCTTTTTATGTGTAAATGCAAATTAACACCAAGTCTTACCTGGCACAATCAGGCAGTGATGACTGCTTGAACATCTGGAGTTCTAATATGGAGGTTGTGTTGGAGCTACAGAGATGCTAAATTTTGAATGCAATCTATTATTCTGATATGTTGAAAATTACAGTGTCAATTAGAATGGCATAAATGTTTCACTATTCAAAATAGAATGCTTAAAGCTTGCAATATTTGCCTGGAAATCTTTGGAATATCAGAATCTCTGCCAGTTCTGAATGTTCTTGGCTAAATTTTAAAGTGAACATTGTTTTTGTGTTATGTGGCTTTCTTTTTGTTTATTTTCCTCAGAGCATAACCAGGGTTATCTAAATTCTAAAGATAGTTTGGTAAGACCCAGAGGAAAACTGGCTTAAATTCAAATGGAATTGAACTGTGAAAAGCAGTGAATTTTGAGAACCTAGAGAAAATGCCCAGGTTATGCATTACTTATTTTTACTTCTAATCTGCTTTTTGTGTGCTTTAAGTGATTAATTTAAACAAATACTCATGATTTAATATACTAGACTCCATCTCTGTGAATCTACCTGGTAAAAAGAGAAAAATCAGTGCAGGATAATATAGGTGCACAGGTCACGATTTCTTCTAGTTTTCTGGGTTTCATCTCTGTTTCTATAAGCCTGTCATTTGACAGTTATTGTACCAAACTTCTCAATGCTTTATAGATAAATCTCACTGGACAGTTCACTGTGAAAAGGGCCATGACTTTCCCAATGCTCTTACATAAGGGTTGTGTAGCACATATAAAAGACAGTGTTCAGGCTGAATTTTTCACACAGCAAATTTGGACAAGTGCTCTTTATTTAGTAAACAATGTTTCATAGTGGCAGAAGGGCAGTTAAAATCATAAAGTGTTTGAACTATTAGGGCATTAGAGATTATATAATTTTGCCCCCTAGCTTGACAAGGTTGAAGCTAAGGACAAGAGAATTTGTACTCTTCCTTGACTCTCAGGGTAACACATAGCTCCATGAGAGCACCCATATTAGAATCCAGGTACTTTCTCTTCTGTCAAATGGCCTTTCTACTTAGTCAGGCTGCCTTACCAGCTATCTGATTGCATGCTGTGGATACAGATGTTTTCTGTTTTGTTTTATTTTGTTTCTGAGACGGAGCTTCGCTATTGTCGCCCAGGCTGGAGTGCAGTAGTGCGATCTTGGCTTACTACAACCTCCACCTCCAGGGTTCAAGCGATTCTCCTGCCTCAGCCTCCCAGGTAGCTGGGATTATAGGAACCCACCACCATGCCCAGCTAATTTTTTGTACAGAGCTTTTAAGTCTTAATTTATCTGAATTTTAGCATATATGTTAAATCCTATGTTCTACTTTGAGTCAATTAATATACACTTCTATATTTGTTATTCAGAGTAAAAGTGGACAAGGATCTTTTTTTTCTAATTGATTTACTTTTGGGGAAAAATAATAATAATTCAAATATCAAGGTGTGTTTGTTCTTCCTATATTGTGTTCACTTCTTTCATCTCAAGCAGCTCACTTGGGCTAAGTTTACATTAAAGAGCTGAGAGTACAGGTTGTCTGCCAGGCACTCCTTTCCCATCTTTGGGAAAAGCCCACTGCTCTAGGTGTCCAAGAGGAAGTGGAGAGAGAGGGGAGGACTTGGAGAGGCAACAAAATAAAAGACACAGGCTTTCCAGACCTGGAAGGAAAGAGAAATCAGCATGCCACAAAGGTGAAATGGATCTGAACAAGGCTGAGCAACAGTGCCCTGAAGAGGAGATGTCAAGAAATGAAGTGTTCCAAACCCAGACACAGGGGGCTCCAGCCTCACCAAACACTCCTATGCTATAAGAGTGGCTTAGAAACAGCTGATCCAACAGACCTGAGGCCCCCATGCAATTGAGGCTATGGGTAGCTCAGTGATGATCAACACAGTCTGATTACTGACAACTGGAGGAACTGCTCCAATGTTCTGGTGATGGGTCATGATCCTAGGACTTCTGCACAACTTCAAGGAGGACAGAACTCCAGTAATGACTAGAATTGAATGCCCCAACAGGAGCTCAAGGTCAGATATTAATTGATTTTATAAAAATAAAGAGATGTGTTGCTTGCACATTTGAGTTTGTCGAATAAGATTCATACCCATTATAAGAACCAGGCTTGGTCAGGCGCAGTGGCTCACACCTGTAATCCCAGCACTTTGGGAGGCCGAGGCAGGTGGATTGCCTGAGGTCAGGAGTTCGAGACCAGCCTGGCCAACATGGTGAAACCCCATCTCTACTAAAAATACAAAAATTAGCCAGGTGTGGTGGCAGGCGCCTGTAATACCAGCTACTCAGGAGGCCGAGGCAGGAGAATCACTTGAATCCGGAAGGCAGAGGTTGCAGTGAACCAAGATTGCACCATTGCACTCCAGCCTGGGTGACAAGAGTGAGACTTCACCTCAAAAACAAAGCAAAACAAAAAAAGAACTAGGCTTTTTATTTTTAGTTGATAGAAGATCTGTAGGCAATTAGATTAGGAGGAAAAAAATTCTACCTTTTATCTACTCCACACAGTCTGCCAAATCTGTTGAGGAAGAAAGATTTCCAACATGACTAGCTAGAAAGAATTTGTGCTGTCTTTTAGAAAAATGGGTCAGAATTATTAACTGATGATATAATTGTGATGGAGAGACACACTGAATAATCAAATAGGAAAGTTTCCTAGATTTGGTAGCAAGTTCTAGCAAAAGTTAGATTTGCTGAGAAATGCTATGGGAAGCAAGAGGGTGGGCTATTCTTTGGTAAAATTGTTACGGACGTATGGTTTGTCATTAGGACCTTACTCCCTGGGATTCTTTGGCCGTATGAGATTCCTTTAGGAGCTCTGTCTAACCCTGCAGTGATGCTGTTCTCATGAAATTGCTTTGGACTTGATTTTCTTTCTTCTATATCAAAATTAATCTACTTTTCCAGGAACCTGCAAACTAATCTGATTAAAGAGTGTACCATATTTGATAACTCTGGTCTCGATTCAACACATTAAACTCTCCACAATAAAATGCACATTTTTATGGGGATCTTCACTGTTTTAACTTACATAAACATACACACAGACACACACACAGACACACACCCCTACATAGGTACGAATTTCAACAGGCACAGTTTTGAGACACAAATACTTTATTAAACTACAAGTATGGACTCCAAATTCCAAAGATGGTCTTACTAACATATCTCCTCTAGAATGCATCTTAATAACATTTAATATTGAAGAATGTTTGATCAGATAAATTCAATGGATAAATCAATTTTGACTCATGAAACTTTCCCTACTCCATTTCTTTTTTACCTCCAGAGCCCTGAAGTACAATCATGTGAGAAGACTGCTTTTATGGGTGAAGCTGGTGAAAATCCTGCTGACTAAAGTGGACTGAGATTGGGGTTAATTTCTGAGGCATAATTTTGGTGTCTTCTAATTTACAGAATCTATGAGAAAACTGTTCATATTGCCAAGAGACGCCTTTGAGCTATTTTGAGAATACAATATGAGTTCTGAAGTGTTGAGGGCTATTAATAAAGTTTTAGTATATTTTCATATTTTTAAAGCATTATTTAAAATACAGACATTATAACAGACACACCCCTCCAGAATGTAAGCTGTGAAGGCAGGGATTTTTGTCTATTTTGTTCATTTGATGCAGCCTAAGCATCTGGAACAGTATCTGGCAAATAGTATGATGCTAAAAAATGTTGTTAAACGGAGACGTGTTGACATGTTTATAGTACACGTCTCTTAGAGACTCTGTTTTCAATTCTTTGGGGAATATATCCCAGAGAATAAAATTGACCAGGCTCAGTGGCTCACGCCTGTAATCTCAACATGCCTGTAATCTCAATCCACTGAGGCAAGTGGACTGCTTAAACTCAGGAGTTCAAGATTAGCCTCGGCAACATGGCAAAACCCTGTCTCCATCAAAAAATAAAAAATAAAAATAATTAGCCTAGCATGTAAAAGTAGAATAGTTAGCTCGTATGGTAATTCTATTTTTAATTTTTTGAGAAACCATCATACTATTTTCCTTAGCGGCTGTTCCATTTTACATTCCCAGCAACAACACACAAGACTTCCAATTTTTCCATATCCTTGCCAAAACTTGCTATTTTCTGGGTTTTTTCTTTATAGTAGCCATTTTAATGGGTGTGAAGTAGCATCTCATAGTTTTGATTTGTATTTCCCTAATGGCTAGTGATGTTTAGCATTTTTTATATGCTTATTGGTCATTTATATATCTTCTTTAAAAAAATTTCTATTCATTTCCTTTGCCCATTTTTAAATTGAGTTTTTTTTTGTTTTGTTTTGTTGCTTAGTTTCAGGAGTTCTCTACATATTCTGGATATTAATTCCTTTTCATATATATGATTTGCAAATATTTTCTCCCATTCTGTGGGGTTTTTTTACTTTGTTGATATTGTCTTTTGAGACACAATTTTTTTTAATTTTCATGAAGTCCAATTTGTCTATTTTTTTTCTTTTGTTGCCTATTTTGTGTCATCCTCAAGAAACCATTACCAAATCCAGTGTTTTGAAGCTTTCCCCATATGTTTTATTCTAAGAGCCTTATGGTTTTAGGCCTTACATTTAGGCCTTTGATCCATTTTGAGTTAATTTTTGTATATGGTGTTAGGTAAGGACCCAACTTCCTTGTTTGGCATGTGGATATCCAATTTTCCTACCACCATTTGTTTGAAAAGATTGTCCTTTCCCCATTGAATGGTCTTGGTAGCCTTGTCAAAAGTCAACTGATCATACATCTTATTTATTTCCGGCCTCCCTAATCTATTCTATCAGACTATATGTCTGTCTTTATGCCAGTACCACATTGTTTTGATTACTGTTAGTCCATCTTTATTATATAAAATCATGATTACAAGCTCATACTATAATATTATATTTTATACTTTTCCAAATCTTCCATAGCATTGTGTTCTTCTTCCACTAAAAAGCAGACCGTTTAGAGGTATAATAGTAGCTGTAAGTGGGCAGTAATGAAACAAACTTGAGAATTACATAACCTTCCAGCTATAGAGTTCATAATGACAGAAAGGGTAAGACTGCAGGTCGCTAATTCCCAGTCTTTTCACCAGCAAAGATCCCTTTTGTAACATTTACTTATAAATCCCATTATTTAAAAGTGTCTTGTCCTATAAAATGTATTTCCTAAGTAACAATTTTCTTGTTTCCCTATTTAAGTAATCAAATAAATGCATAATTACCAATCAGAGTTTCTGATGTGAAAAGGAAAGCTAGATGAGCAGCCTGAGTCAAATACTTCTGTAGCCCACTGTACTCGTATCGAGTCAATGTGTGATTTCTAATTTTTAAATATTGACACTTCCTTTTTGAGCCCTACTATCTAGAGATCAAAGGGATACTGGGTTGGAAGTAATTGCCCTGAACTTTTAAAAAACATATTCAGAAAAGTTTGTAGAAAAAGTTAGGTATGATTCTGTCCTGAGTGATTAATGGAAATAAGAATGTTGACCTTGAGAATCAGGAGACCTAAATTCACCTCTTTCTGCTTCAGTGTCCTTATCAAAAAAACTGATTTTATCTACCGTAAAAGAGGCAGCATGTTCAACTGGTTAAGAGCAGGGCCTCTAGAGAAATATTAGCTGAATTTTAATCCTGACTCCACTAAATTATTTAACCTCTCCAAGGCCACAGAAACCATTTTGACTAATCCATGACTAGAGACAATCTTAAGAACAGACAAGGAAAAAGAAGACATATTGCATACAGAAGAACAAATATAAAATATAAAAATTACCTAGACATTGTGTCAAGAACCAATGCAAGCCAGAAGAAAATGACACTTTTAATGTGAAAGGAAAAAAGCCGACCTAGAATTCTACATCCAGCAAAATTATCCTTCAGCAATAAAGGGGAAATAAAGATAAGTTCTTCATTTGGAAAAGGTATCTCCTAGAATAGTTATGGAAGATTAAATTAATTAATATATGTAAAATTTTCCAAACACTGGCTCGGGGGCTCATGCCTGTAATCCCAACCCTATAGGAGGCCAAGATGCGTAGATTGCTTGAGCCCAGGAGTTCAAGACCAGCCTGGGCAACATGGTGAAACTGTCTCTACCTAAAAAATAATAATAATAATAATTAGCTTAATGTGGTGGCATGCACCTGTGGTCCCACGCACCTGTGGTCCCACCTACTCAGAAGGCTGAGGTGGGAAGATCACTTGAGCCCAGGGGTCAAGGCTGCAGTGAGCCATGATAGTGCCACCACACTACAGCTTGGACAACAAAGCAAGACCCTGTATCAAAAAAATTAAATAAATAAATAAATAAAAATTAATATTAAAATAAGCAATTGGGGCTTTTGCAACTCTTTTGTTTTACCTGAAGATATAAAAATGATGATTTAAAATGACACCTATCCCAATGTAAAGATTGTAGGAGATCACAGATTAATAGAGCCCCAGGAAAAAATTTGAAGTCAGTGCAACTGTTTTATAACTGGGTCATATCAGTAAAGTGTCTATTGGACTAGAAGGTAAACTCTTTGAATGTTTGAAACTATATCCTAATATAACATTTTGTACCTAGTGATTTGACTAAGAAAATCTCATACACATAAGTGTTACAAAGCACTTTCACATACATTATCTTATTTTCATTCAAACAAGGTTTTAATTATTTAACTTTCTCATTCAATAAATGATTTTTGAAAATCTTCTCTGTGGCAGGTACACTAAAAGGGGAGTCAGTGAGAATGAAGATATGATACTTCTCAAGTTGTTTGCAAGTGGAATTGAGAAGACAGGCTTGTAAACGGAAAATTTGTAAAAAAATTTTACAAAATAAGATATTGTAAAAATACAATATTGATTCCAAGTGCTACTTTGGATGATGGATAAATAAAGGGTGCTACAGGAGCACATAAGAGGGATTCCCAGGAAGTGCTGGGGGATCATGGAAGGCTTTTTAGAGGAGATGTACTTAAGCAGTATCCTAAACAGCAGAAAGAATAATTTAGTCGGGATTGGCTGGGGACTGGGGACGTTACATGAAGAGAGTGAACTCTCATGTAACTCAAGATGCTATAGCACCTTGAGCAAGTCACTGGATTAATTTGAGCCTCAGTTTTTTTGGTCTTAAAAATGGGGATAATAGGCCAGGCACGGTGGCTCACACATGTAATCCCAGCACTTTGGGAGCCCAAAGGGGGCAGATCATGAGGTCAGGAGATTGCGACCCTACTGGCCAACATGGTAAAATCTCATCTCTACTAAAAATACAAAAATTAGCTGGGTGTGGTGGCAAACACTTGTAGTCCCAGCTACTCGGGAGGCTGAGGCAGGAGAATCGCTTGACCCTGGGAGGTGGAGTTTCCAGTGAGCCGAGATCGCGCCACTGCACTCCAGCCTGGCAACAGAGCAAGATTCCAAAAAAAAAAAAAAAAAAAGAAAGGATAATAATACCTTCTTCACTGGGTTATGGTTAGAATTAATGAAATGAAATAATATAAAACTGCATTATAAACTGTAATGCCTTATATAGAGGAAATGTTTAAATACTTCTCAAAAGTATTGCCTATTAGTCTTTGTCCTTCTTTAGGAAATAAACAATATTCAGAAGAAGTAGAAAAGGAAAATA
This sequence comes from Homo sapiens, assembly GCF_000001405.40. Taxonomy (NCBI): domain Eukaryota; kingdom Metazoa; phylum Chordata; class Mammalia; order Primates; family Hominidae; genus Homo; species Homo sapiens. The sequence continues at coordinate 51,016,482 of NC_000010.11, read as the reverse complement.
GCATTTTCCATTTATTACAGAAGCCTGAAATGATGCTTTAGTTAACCATTCTAGCCTGAAAGATGAACTGCATTTCTGCCAAAAAATAATAATTTGATTCAATCATAATAACAAAGATTTAATTACATAAAAAGCAACAGAGGGCCACTGGTGAAGAGGAACAAAGAACGTAAGCTTTAAAACTTTCAGGTAAAACACAGAGCTGGCAGAGTAATTAATACAGTGCAACTTGATGTTTTAATGCTTGACTGAAAAATGAAAGAGGAGGGACCCAGGGTCAATTATCTCTAAACCTGTATCCTGTTCCCTGCCAAATGCAATGCAATCAGTAAAATGTGTTTATTAAGTGATTGCTAAATTGAAATAAAAGCAACTGAAACTGCGTTCTAGAAGGTTGACGTCCTGCAAACACATATGCAGAATGTATCACTCAGATGATCACCTCCTCCAAGAAACTTTCCTGACTTTCCCTCATTGCTAATGATCTTCTAGTCCCTTTGCCTCCTCCATCAAGCATGCTTCAATCATAGTGCTTAACACAGCTGTGAGAAGACCCTTCAGAGGGCTTCCTCTATCTCTTTTTTTTCTTTTTTTCGAGACAGAGTCTCACTCTTGTCACCCAGGCTGAACTGCAATGGCGCCATCTCGGCTCACTGCAACCTCCACCTTCCAGGTTCAAGCGATTCTCCTGCCTGAGCCTCCAGAATAGCTGGGATTATAGATGCCCACCACCTTGCCCAGCTAATTTTTGTATTTTTAGTAGAGATGGAGTTTCACCATGTTGGCCAGGCTTGTCTCAAACTCCTGACCTCAGATGATTTGCCTGCCTTGGCCTCCCAAAGTGCTGGGATTACAGGCATGAGCTACCAAGCCCAGCCTCCTCTATGCATTTCTATGAGCTTCTAAACATTGCATGTAACTGACTGCATCTGTTTCTATGCAACTTAACACAATGTGCCTGAACTGTTGTAGATACTGATTTAAATATTGACTGAGCTACAATGATGTAAAATAGAACTAAGATTGAGGTCTAAGAATTCCTACTAGCCTTCAAAGTTAATGGGGATGCTCTTTTCAAAACCTATAATTGGAAAAAATAGTGTAACAAGAAAATAACGTTTGATATACAACAGTCTCAGAAAACAGAAAATATCTTGAACATAGTAGGTTTTAAATAAATAGTTGTTGGAGATATAGTGGGCAATAATGTTTAGTAATTGTAACTTGGAATTCGTTCAAGAGCCTGGGAGAAAAAATTAACTGCGTCTGGACATTCTTTCACAATTCAGTAAAGGCATTATTGGACTTAGAAACTTTTTCAGTAAGGGTTGCAATCAAAGTATTTTCTCATTTAAAAAGAGATTTTATTCAGCCAGAAGGCCATTCCATAGAAATATGGGTGTGGTTTTTTGCTGAATTTCTTAGTAATGGTTTGCAATGTATTAAACATACATGATGGGAAATGATTGAGAGTTTCTATCATATAGTAATCAAAGACACTTCTGCTCTAAGAAGTAAAAACATCAACTTTGCCTTATTGCTTGAAAAACAGGAAGCACAGAAGCCAAATATTTCAACCAAGTCTTTGTTTATTTTTAGCCAGAACCACATCTAAGTCAGACGACAGAGTCTGAATTGCAGAATCAAACAAGTAAGTGTGAGGTCACAGACCAGCTTTCTCAGCCCTTCATCTGTCTAAAATTTCTTTAAAAAATTTAATTGACACATAAATATGTAAATATGTAAAACAAACATGTAATTGTACATATTTATAGGGTACAATTTGACACTTTGATACATATATATGTGTATAATGATCAAATTAGTGTCTCTATAGTGTCCACTGCCTTCAGTAATTTGTGCAGTAAGACCAAAGTGACCTGTGATACCTGCACGTGCAGCTTCATCACGGATAAGGAGTGCCAAGAAGATATAAGGTGTGAAAAAAAAAATGTTTTCAAGATAATTTTTCCCTGCAAAAGCCCTATTACTTACCTCTTGGATTTTATTACTATCGTTAGTGTTTTAAGGAACAATTGGCCTCACTACCAAGCCATCAAAGACAACTCTGATTCATAAAAATAAAGACAAAGCCATCTTACGTTGGCTGATGCGATGAGAAACTGATAGTGCCCTTTGGAGCACCTCAAAAAAAAAAAAAAAAGAGAATGCCTGCATGCAGGAGTAGCTCCTACAAGGCAACAACACTTGTTTTGTCAACGGGAATCAGTGAGCCTAAAGCCCTGGTGCACTTCTATCAGGAAGCAACATGGCAGATTTAAAAAGAGAGCCAAAAGCAATAGGAAGAGAAGATGCAACATACATACAGATACAGCAATAGAGAAATCCAATTAACATATATTCACCATGTTCACATTCAAAATAAATAAACATTTTTCATTCTTCCATTGCCCTCAAAAATGTCAAAAATTTCCTCTTTATTTCCAAAGGATCCAGACACTTGTGCTCCAAAACTTGGGATTTATTATTATCCCAGTATTCTTTCCTGCATATTATTATGGCTGTTTATATATTTTTTTAACCCAGAAGATGTTTTACAGCCATCGATTAAGACGATTTAAAACAAATAGTGCTCAGTTGTTGAATAGCCTCACTACATTATTGCCAAAGGACTCAAATCATGTAAAGAGAGCATTCCAACAAAAGAAAAGGTTATCCTTTATAACTTAACTTGTTTTGCTGTAGATGTTATGTTCAAAACCTTAAGATAAGTAACTATACCTGTTTTCTCATTAGGCTTATATTATAGATTCTTTTTTAAAAGTGTTACAGGGCCGGGCGCAGTGGCTCACACCTGTAATCCCAGCACTTTGGGAGGCTTAGGTGGGCAGATCACAAGGTCAGGAGATAGAGACCATCCTGGCTAACATGGTGAAACCCCATCTCTACTAAAAATACAAAAACTTAGCCAGGTGTGGTGGCATGCACCTGTAGTCACAGCTACTCAGGAGGCTGATGCAGGGGAATCACTTGTATCCAAGAGGTGAAGGTTGTGGTGAGCCGAGATCGCACCACTGCACTCCAGCCTGAGCAACAGAGTGAGACTCCATCTCAAAAAAATAAGTGTTACTAAATGGTCGAAACTGAAAAGCCCTTCAATGGCTTTGCCTTCTTTTTAACATAGTCTGCAAGTCTAGTGGTGGTAGTAATAGTAGCAGCAGCAGTGATAACACCCAACATCCATAACTGCAAGCATTGTTCTAAGCACTTTCCCTATAATCTCATTTAATTCTCACAATTACTCTATGGGGCATATATTTTTCATAAACCATTTTGCAGATGAAAAATAAGTGTAAAAAGTAATATAACTTGAATGCAGTTTCTCTTGTTCCTTGGTTCATGTTCTTAACCTCTAACCTTTACTACCTTCGGATGAGCTGGACCTTCTATACTTCAGGAAACTCACTGCGTGCCACCGTTCCTGTCACCCACTGCAGTATTCCAGCTACAGGACTTTTTTTCTGGACCTCAAACATGCCGATGTCTTTGCCCATGCACATCCTTTCCACATATTCTTCCTTCTGTCTAAAGTGATTTCCCAATGTTAGAACAATCTACTTCTCATCTTTTAGGTCTCAGTTTAAATGCCACCTGAGAAAAGAGTTTATCTCCAACCATACCATTTAAATAGACTCTTCCCTCTCCCTTTTATTTTCTGCCATTGCACCTTTATTTACTGCCTTGTTATAATTCATCACAATTTGACTTTTTTGTCTTTTTATTTGTTCTCTCATTTGTTTGTCTCTATTACTAGACCAGGCTCCAATGACTTGCACTATTGTGCCCTTAGCACCTAGAATGATGACTGGCACAAAGTAAGCACTCAATAAATAGTTGCTGAATGAATGAATAAATGAGTGAATGGTCTTTCAAATATGTTTTAAAATGCGTGCCTTAATTCTGAATATTGGTGGTACCTTCTCAGCCACTCACTGATTGTATGCCCATGGGTGGTTGGAATGGATGGTCTTGGAAGGGAGGTAGACTGGTATGGAACTCTTTAATTACAGAGGTAATGACTACTTAATATGATGCTTGTAGAGGGGATAGAAGTACTGAATGGATAAAAACACACATATCACTGTTAGAATTATCTCCAACCTTAAGACGTTAAGATTTTACTTTCTCAAGGCCAGCTGTCAACAGCCCTCTCCTTGAATATTCACTACTTATTGTTCCTCCCAAAGCAGTTCAGTCCAGAACAACCAGGAAACTCTGCTAGAAAGCTCCTCCTTACCCTGAGCTGGAAACACCACTCTTTCACTTGCAATCATGTCTTCCTTCTACTTTTTGAAACCATGCAGAACCCATGCAATATGGTTTGGCTAGTTCCTACCCCAATCTCATCTTGAATTGTAGCTCCCACAATTCACACATGTCACGGGAGGCAATTGAATCATGGGAGTGTGTCTCTCCTGTGCTGTTCTTGTGATAGTGAATAAGTCTCATGAGATCTGATGGTTTCATAAAGGGGAGTTCCCCTGCACAAGTTCTCTTCTTGCCTGCCACCATGGAAGACATGCCTTTCAACTTCCACCACAATTGTGAGGCTTCCCCAGCCACATGGAACTGTGAGTCCGTTAAACCTCTTTTTCTTATAAGTTACCCAATCTCCAATACGTCTTTATCAGCAGCATGAGAATAGACTGATAGCCATGAACTACCTTTCCTCAAATATACAAATAACTGTCCCTGTTAAAGTAACCACAACTGAACCCAGAGTAAGGCAAGAATGGCACATTTTCCATTAGTGATTCTATATTTTTGATTAAGTGGCTGCAAATCCTTTATTGACTAAAACAGGAGTCAAACCAAATAAAATAAATTTAGGCACTTAAATGTTGATATGTTTATGTATATAAATCAATCATTAAATAATTTTTGGCAGCCATTTCTCCTGGTTGATTCATAAATTACTTATAGACAAATCCTAAATCTTTTCAAAAATGCTTCTATGAGGTTACTTCTAAGTATGAAGTTTCAAGGTTTCTAGGGAAAATTTTTCCATTAATTCTTCGTTAAACATTTTTTTTATTTTGTTTGGTGATTTCAGTTGCGGGTGAATTTACCCACCATGGAACAAGAGGTGGTGTCTGGAGACATTCTGGTTGCCCTAACTGGTGGTCAGGAGGGCTGTTACTGGTGGGTAGAGTATTACTGGTGTTACTGGTGGGTAGAGTCCAAGATGCTGCTAAACATTCTAAAATACACAGGACAGCACTCTCTCCCCTCAACACCGCCCCCTCCCCACCCACACACACACACAACAAATAATTCTCTGATCCAAAATTCAAAATATCCATAGTTGCAAGGCTAAGAAACACCATTTGCCCAGTGATTCTCAGTGGGGGCGTTACTGCCCCCTTGTGGTAACTTAGGAAATTTATTGGTGCTTTTTAGTTATGATGTGCTAGGATCCACTGGAGAATCCCACAATTTGAATAATTATCCTTCAACCCCTGTGCCTTCAAATCTCTCACCAGCCATTCAGGCAGGAGAAAAATCTGTACATATTATCTAAGCCTAGAATCAAAGTCTGTCTTACATGTAAACCAAGTATTTATTTTTGCGTGGCTATAAATTAAGTTTGCTGTAAATTCAACAAAAATGTAAATTAAGGAAAGAGAGTACTTTATTTTGTTAAAAACTTTACAGAGAGATGTTCATCACTTTGGAAAACTGAGTCACTTGATACAAACACCACCAGTGGCACCAGAGTAACCTGTAAAACACATCAGTACTAGTATTTGTTTTCAGTTGTTACATCAAATGATTTCAGGATTAGGAACAAGCACTTCACATCTTCAGTTCAACTTACTGTGTAGCCCTTTTCCAGCAATCATCTCCAACTTGGACAGTTCAAGCACTTACTAAAGCAAGTATTATTTCATGATACATGTTCCCCTATCTTTTGTTTATATTATAGTTAGGATACCACATATATATATATGCATAGATACACACAATTATGTGTGCAGATGGGTTATATTATTGATGAATTTAATTTCAGCATAGTGAGGGAGCATTAGGAAATATCTGGTATGAAAAGGAAAGCATTGTCTGAAATAGGGTTATAAATCACTACTCTTGCCCATCATAATCTTTTGGGATCTTGATTCTGTTTTCCAACATAATAAGCAATCCTCACAGCATCTTGCCCTGTGCAAATCTGAGTGAGATGCCATTAATGGCCTCACCCAAATAATTGGCAAAGATGCTTAATGTAGAGCGAATGATTTACGCTGGGTAGTAGAATTCGCTTTTCTGCACGTGCTCCATGGAATTCCACATCTACCTTTCAACCTACATTCTTAACACAACTTCGCACAAACAATGGCCCTGGAAAATTCCCACAAATCAGAGGCCAATCATGCTTCCCAGTGGAGCCACCCTCTCCTGACCCCTCCTTCCACTGCTGAAGGCACTTGGACATTTCCAGTAAAGTTTCTATAAAATGAAATAACCATTTGAATTATACCTGAGATCTTTTACAATAAAGAGAAGAGAAACTTTCCAAAATCTCTGATAGCAGGCGTATGAGAATCAAAGCAAAGAAGATACAATTTTGAGGAGAATGGAGAATGATACTTCTCTCTGGGTAGCATGAATGTTCTGGCAGATTTTCTTTCCAAAAGTACGATTCCATATTGAACAATGCATTGTCAAATATTTTATATCTTCAAGAAGTCCAAAACCATTCCCAGAAATCTGGATTCTTTGAACCACCTTGTATGAGAATGTTTCTGAATTAAATAGACCCAGAAAGAAATATATTATCATAAATTTCTAAATTATATTTTCAGATGATAACTGGAATGTCCATTGTATAATTTATTTTATATAAAACTAATTCACTAATAAGACTATTCAACTAGCTCATGCTGTCTCTTAAATTTTTCTTATATTCTTAAGAGAAAGCTTAACTTTTCAGTGGTATGATAGTAAAATAGAAATACCATAACAGAAATCCTCAATTTCTGTTATAGACTACATTAACAAAAACCCTCTAGTAAAGCTAAAAGTATGTGTGTGCACCTTAGATTGAGGTGGAGGTGGGAGAACTATTTAAATTCTACTTTTAAATGCAGAGAATAATGTTAACTTAAAAATAGTTTATCCCTAAATATAACTGTGTTTCAAAATGTATAATTTAATTGGCATTTAAAGCTTTTCTAAATTAGTTAGATAAATACACCAAAGAAAATCTATCTTTATCCTAATATATCTATTTGTGGTTTATTCCATTTGTTCTTTGTAACCCTAAAGAAACAAGTTACCAAAATTATAGGGAATTAAGGCATTGAAATTATAGCATAGAAGGGTTTTTTTTCCTTCTAAAATTACAGGTAAGAAAACTACAGTCTACAGAAGTTGTCTCACATTTTAAGCCCAATTTTGTTTCCCTATAAATCCTTATAAAACTCATACCATGAAAACAAGAGAACCACAAACCATCAGAGATGTGTGACATTTCATGGAGCCACCAGAGACTAATACTTTCATCTGAACCAAAGGACAATCAATCAACACCATATCCTTTGAAAAATAAGAAAATGGGAGAAGGAGGGAGGGCAGATGGAAATGGCAGGTGAAAAAGCCTCCACAAAACCTTGTATCATAAATACCTAAATGTGTCCTTTACTCTCTTCATCTCATCCAAAATCTTTTTTTTCCATGGGCTCAGCAGACTTCAGAAGTCACAGCTCCATATCTTGGGCTTGAAGGAAGATAAATACAGGTGTATGGTACAACTGTGACCTTATTTGAACACAGCATCTTTATAGATGTAATCAAGACGACATCATATTGGATTAGGGTGGGCCCCAAATTGAATGACTAGTAATCTTACAAGAGGGGAATTTAGACACACATACTCACAGAGAAAAGACAACCATGTGAAAATGAAGGCAAAGATTGGAATGCAAGTCCAAGTCATGGAATGGTTAAGGTTGCCAGCAACCACCAGAAGCTAGAAAGAGGCAAGGGAAGCTCCTCTCCTAGGGTTTTCAGAAAGAGCATGGCTCTGCTGACACCTTGAATTCGAACTTCTAGTCTACAGAGCTGGGAGTAAATAAATTTCTGTTGCTTGAAGCCACCCAGTTTGTGGCGATGTGTTCCAGCAGAACTAAGAAATGAATGCATATAGTCACCCTTCTTGCAGTATATACCTAGAAAGCTACTTCTCAAGGAGTTATAGCAAATTTCCTGGTCCCAAATTCCCCAAGCCTACCTATTAAGCCAGAATCTTTGGAGATGGGCCTAGGAGTCTTCACTGCAACAAATGGAACCCAAGAGATGTTTATACGTACTACAGTTTGAGAAGAACTGGGCATATGAATGATCTGAAGGTCTTCACAAAGCCCAATTTCCTCCAATTTTCCCCTATGTTCCTGCTGTTGATTATCATGTAGTATAGTGTCAGAGCCCTAGAGCCAGACGTCTTGGACCAGCAAGCCTTGGGATGAGTCACTTGATGTGTTTGCACTGAGTCTCCTCCTCTGTACAGAGCACATGGAACAATTCCTGCCTGGAGGCACCATGAAACCACCATGGGATTGTTGAGAAGAGCAAATTAATTCATGCCAATAAAGTACCTTGCACAAAGTAAGCTCTTAACAATGCTGAATTAGTATTTCCTACTTTCCCATTATATCTCAACTAAAATTCCTTCTGAATCACATTTTAAATTTGACTTTGTCTCCAAAACACTAATATTAAAACTACAGAAGCAATGGCCATTGTTTAGGGCATGCTTACAACAGGTCTTTTGCATAACGTTAGTTTCAGGTGGGCCTTCTTATTCTCATTTACGGGGGAAATTGAAGGTCAAAGATGTTAAGCAACATGACTAAGATATCAGAAACTTGAAACTCAAGCTCATCTGATTCCACAGTCCATGCTCTTAGCCTTTATATTCTACAGCTGTGTGTGCTTATGGCCTAGAAGGGACAAGAATACCAGAAGGTTTCCTGTAGGCTTTCCTAGGTAATGAGTTCATCTTACAATGTAATCCCTGTTAATTTATCATTAATAGCTTAGTTTGCATTATTGTGTCTGATTGCACTTTATTTGTGTAGAAAACTTAACTCGGATGGTAAAAGGAAAGGAGGAAGAAACTGGAGAGAATCAATTAATCCCTTGCTATTTAATGGTCTTCAGGAGACCAGCAGCATCAGGAACACCTGAGAGATAACTACAAATTAAGAATCTCAGGCCCAGCCGGACGCAGTGGCTCATGCCTGTAATCCCAGCACTTTAGGAGGCCGAAGTGGGTGGATCACGAGGTCAGGAGTTCAAGACCAGCCTGGCCAAGATGGTGAAACCCACCCCCCACATCTCTACTAAAAATACAAAAATTAGCCAGGTGTGGTGGTGGGCACCTGTAATCCCAGCTACTCCAGAGGCGGAGGCAGGAGAATCGCTTGAACCAGGGTGGCAGAAGTTGCAGTGAGCTGAGATCGTACCACTGCACTCCAGCCTGGGTGACAAAACAAGACGCCATCTCAAAAAAAAAAAAAAAAAAAATCTCAGGCCCTTCCCCAGACCTACTGAATCAGAACCTGCATTGAAGGAGATTCCCCAGATGATTCATATGTAAACTAGAGTTTGAGAAGCCCTTGGTTTATTCAGCTCAGAGAGTAGATAGCTGCAGAGGTGGTCTTAGCACAGCTAAATATATCACTATACAAAAGTTTCTAATATTTCCTTCTAGAGTAATAAGTTTATATTGTAATGGGGTGGTGGGGAGGGGGCGTGAAATGCATGGAAAGAAAACTGAGACAACACCATGGATGGAAAAGAAAGAAAGGAAAATAAGTCCTAAATATGACCTATGTCAGAGTACCATCTGTGATTCAGGAAATTACTCCGAAAATAGGGTCAGAGCTATTTCAATGAGCAAAATTAGATCCAAGTATAGAGTTAGAAATATGGGAAGAATACACATGGGCCCATTCCTGTCACAGGGTTAAAAGTTCTTATATATTTGGTGAATGAAGTCAGAATCAATAAATGATAACAATGAGAGCTAACATTTATTGAATGACTACATTCTATAAGGCAATAAACTAAATCTATTACATGCATGAGCTCATTTAATCCTCTCAACAACCTTGAGAGGTTTTTAATAATTGAAGAGGCTGTGGTTTTGTGTGTATTTTTGCATGATAACGTCAGGTTAGTACGGACACAAAGTGTCTTTGGATCTCCAAAATAGTTCATATGTCTTCCCACATATTAGCTGATTGACTGATAGATCCAACTGCCTTGGGAGAAATAAAATCTGAAATAGTATTAGTCCACATGAAAAAGCTCAAATACAGTAAAACCAGTCTCTAAGCTGCAAACAGGCACTGGGGCTACACAAAGGCTTAACACTGACATGGGGAGATGGGCACATACAGAGAAAGTTCAGTGGAAGCACACCTCCCCCTCCAGCCTTCAGAGTTTGAAACTGAGGTCAACTGCACCGTTAGAATATCTACAAACAGCCCCTAACCCATATCTCTACATCTGCAACTCCACCAGATATGAAAAGTTATCCCCTCATTATTCCTGAGAACTGAACAACGAATAGACAATGAGAGGAGGGGAGAGAAAGGCTTTTGTGAAATAAGGCACCCAGCCTGGAAAAATATGCACAACTGTCAATGATCCCTGCCCACTCAGACATTCTAGCACTCTGAGCAGCTCTTCCAGCAATTCCAGTGTCTTTCCCTGAGCCTGAAATAGCTGGTCCCCTCAGGGTTCCTGCCTTATGGACAATTCATCACAGTGTTTCGTTTAAACTCGGCCTTCAAAAGCGGCTCTGCTAAGAAATTCATTCTAGAGTTGGTTGGGGTGTTAACCTGAGTGACAACACATTTTGTGATCTGCAAACCAGATCATAAAAAGACACTTTATGTTATTAATATGGTAATAATACCTAAACCATCTCATTTCCTTTTGTCCTATTGTTCCAATTTACAAATGTCCAGCTTACCATGTCACTGGAATATCAGTCTTTCTGAACTTCTTGATATTTGCTTGATTTGTCATTTTTGTTTTGTCCATCAAAGGAGACGAACAAAGATATCTTCTAAAATCCTTTCAAAGCAAGAGGCACTATAAACTTACTACCAAAACTAAATTTTTCAAAAGCTCTAAAACTTTTAAATCTGTGATTCCCGGGATCATTTTATTTTATTTTTTTTTAATTATCACAACCTACCCTGTTACTCCTGCACAAGAGTAGGCTGAAATTTCTAAGGTTATCCTTCCTCCTCCCCCAAAATGATTTTACCTTTTGGCTCCAATCACACGATTGAATACCCTTAATATGATTGAATTCTGATCCAAATAAATGTTTGCAAAGATATCGTTCAGTAAATCTAGTCCAATATCACTACAATGACCAAGAAAAAAATAATGAAATGAAATCTCTACCGAGGTTGCCATCCTATAAAAGGAAATCTCCACTGAGTGGTTCCAATACCATATATGTCCAAATCTCCCTACTAGCCTTTTGAAAAAAAAGTAGCTGAGAGACTTGGAATTTGTTATTTTCCCAAGTGGGAGCTAGAATATCAAAAATTTATTTTGATGAAAAGAAAAACAAATCATTATGATTCTTAGAGAAGGACTTGTGGTTATTTTATTTAAGAGCAATAGATACAGTTTTATCCTTATTTTCCTTATTTTCAAAATTACACTGTAGCAATTAATTTTTTTTTTCAGCTTAAACACACACACAGGCACACACCCACAAACATCAAACCAAGTGCACAATATGGACTTTATAAACCTGAAAAGTAAAAGGGCATGTAAACATCATTCCGAAAAGAGCATTCTCATGAATGTAACTCAAGTATAAAAAAAAGAACCTTCCACGTTTCCACTAAGTTTGCACATTTGATTTTTTTTAATTCTGTCTGTCTTTAATGTAGAAAATTAATTTTGTTTATGCTGCCAGCCCACAGTTTTTTGTTTTGTTTTTTGTTTTTGTTTTGTTTTGTTCTGATTTTGAGACAGAGTTTCTCTCTTGTTGCCCAGGCTGGAGTGCAATGGCACAATCTTGGCTCACTGTAACCTCCACCTCCCAGGTTCAAGCACTTCTCCTGCCTCAGCCTGTCCAATAGCTAGGATTACAGGCACCACCACGTCCGGATAACTTTGTATTTTTAGTAGAGACGGGGTTTCTCCATGTTGGTGAAGCTGGTCTCGAACTCCCAGCCTCAGGTGATCTGCCCACTTTGGCCTCCCAAAGTGCTGGTATTATAGGCATGAGCCACCGTGCCCGGCCAGTATACATTTTTTAATAGAAAAGTTTATAGATCATTTATCTCATATAGGAAGTGTATGTATAATCACATAAACTAAAAAAGTCAAATATTAATAGTTTTTTTGACCTAGGACTCTCACTGTTTGGAATTAATCCTATAAATAAATACATAAATAACATATGAGAAAATGTGTACAATATCAATTGCAGCATTGAATGCTTGCAAAAAACTTGCCAAAATATCAGTATCAATAAGCTGAGGTACATGAATACTATGGAATTACTATTCCATAGCTATTAGAAAGACCAATATGGACTGATCTGGAAAGAAGCCTAGGTACTATTATTAAGCAAAAAGAGCAGGTTACTGAGGAGTGTTATGGAATTATTTTATTTCGGGTGAAAAAATAAAACCCTCCAAATAAGCAGGTGAGTTCTCTCTCTACATATAAAGATTTACGGAAACATACGGAAAGTTTAACATTGGGTATCTGCTGGAAGACAAGTAGAAAGATTGGGAGGAGAAAATAAAATGTTTATGTTTTTATTATCTGACAACCAGCACACATTGTTTTTGCAATTAAAACAATCAAGGAAGCAGACATAGGCTAAGAAGAGATTAAAGTCAGCAAGTCTGAGATTTAGCGTATGCTCATAAGTATCACAAAAGCATGTCCGGACTTTTAACATGGCAAATGGGGATTTGGTACCACAAAACAGAAACTTTTTCTTCTTTTTCTAATTGCTCTAATATCAAGAAGCCCAGAGATTCCACAGCCTGTCTCCTTTTGTGTGGACACCTCTCGTGATGCCCTGGAGTCAGATGGTGAGTCTGGGTAACCGGGGGATTTCAATGTAGCATGCTTCAAACCCTGCTGCTATACTTCGGGAATTTGTCTTGGCCTAGATAACAAACTAGAAAGATCAGAGAAAATAAAAGATATTACTGTCTATTGCTTGCTTCACTATGTCCAATGCAGGCTAGGTGTTCTGTTGTTGTTGTTGTTGTTGTTGTTGTTGTTGTTGTTGTTGTTGTTTTGGCCCTGCAGACACGAGAAAGCATACCCAACATTCAATCTACCCTTGGTTCTCTCTGGCAGTCATAGACAGTGTAACATTGTTTTTTTCCTAACCTAGGAAACATATTGACTACTGTCCCAGAGAGCATTTCTATACATTGATAACCTCAAATAAATATATCACAGAATTTCAAAACACTTTTTATAAAAGCATCTTATTGTCAAACAGGGCATGAAAATGTGAACTGTTCTAAATTCTCAAGTTCCCTTCTTGCCTGTTTATCTAAGTATGATCTAACACAGTATCTGAGCAAAAAGACCAATTAAAGAGGCCAAGGAATAGCATTAATCCAAAACTGACTTGTTTTGACCCAGAGTACAACTTCCTTTTACCACTGACCCTTGATTGCTGGGACAGACCAAAATAAGTACATTTCTCCTCAGCGTTAAATCACAAATGATGCCAGTAGCAAGACTGCTTCACATCCAGGCCCCTGGGAGGTTTCACATGAAAGGGGTCACAGACTGAATGAAATAGCCTTTTACAGGAAGGCTGAATGGCACTCTCTGAGGGAATATTGATCCAAAAATGTACAGCCCATTAGACCCAACCCACAATGTAACCCTGTGTGGTATAAGCCAGACTACTCTTTACCCTAAAATTTTTGAGAGGCAGTTTATATTCAGAGTAGAGTATCTCATAAAACACTTTGCTATTCTCTTAAAAATATTTAGATACATGTAAATAAATAATCATATTAACTTGATTATTAAAATATTTTTATAATGGGAATCTCAGATTACAATAGGCCACATTAAGATTTAATTAATTACATTCTAGAATCACAGAATTATCAAGGAGATCAAGCAACCTATTATGAGTTTCATCTAATAACTGATCTAATTTTTTCCTATAATAATTTTCTTTTAATTTGTTATGGGGGTAGAAGGGAGTGAATAGGAAGCCATTCCTTTAGTCTCCTCACACATACTTTTTTTTTTTTACTACTATTAATTTTCCATTATTTCTCTGTTTTCTCCTCTCAGCCAAATATAAGTCCAGAGGTTTCCTCATAGGGGTTTTAGGAATTTCCCAGAGTCAATGTTCAAAGAACTCTCCATGCAAACTGTACTCTTTGTTTCTCTATTCCTTAAGACAAACATCGAGAAGAAAATTTAGCTTTTTAAATATATTCCCCAAAACCACTACTAACTGGAAAAAAATGTAAGACCATATGTACTTGATAATACACTTTTCAAACTTATAAATCCTGATATTGAGAAAGTTATATATTTGACAATATATTTTAAAATTCAACTAAAAGCCATTTCAAACTCCTAGTGGAGCCCACAATTGTTAAATATTATACTTCTGCTGCCATCTTGTGGTAATGGTTGAAATCTCTCTATGTCTCCCCCTCTATCTTCTCCCCACCGTACCACCTCTTTTTTGTTGTTTTTCCTACATTTAGGAGGGTACTTCTACTCAAACCTTAAGGATTCCCTTTCTTAAGCCATAGGGGAGATGACCTGAACAATGCTCTAGAAAGAAAAGTGGATGTTTGCAAATTCCTCATCCTGTATGTAATATACTTCTTTTCTCCTTATATTTTTCTCGTTTAACAAAGCCATTCCTTTTAACAATATAATTTAATACAAAAAACACATAGTTTTAATTTGGAATAATCTAATTTTTTTTCTACAAGGAAAGGGAACAGATTAAGGGAAAATAAATGTGTATCCTATCAAAGATTTTTCCCTTCCAAACTTTTTCCAAATTGTTTCTTTACAAAGAAAGGAGTCGGGGGAAGCACCATGTATTTCTGCTATAAAATACCACATGATGGAATGGCTCTTCACAGCCACAGGCATCTACTGTCAGGAATCAAGAAGGAGCCTGGAGGAGGAAATGAGAGGCCTCGCTGTGGAGACAGTACGGGAAGTGAGAGCTCCCCAGGGAACCCAGACTGGATGGAAGTGGGTGCCCCAGCATCCTTTATTATTTCTAGGCTGGCCTCTTCAGCCATGGACCTCACTGTCTCAAGGCAAGAGAGTTTATAAATCTGAAGGAGGATGAGAGTCAAATGTTTTTCTGATGATGTATTAATGTGAGCAATTTTTAACCAGAATGACTTATCCTCAAAGCAAGAATATATTTCATGAAAACCACCATCTCCATCTAACTCTATGTCCCCACAGCAATTCCTATGAAGAAGTTGACAAACAGCATGCAAGGAGTCATTCAAACACAGATACAGAGAGAACTCGGCCAGAATTCTTCAAACAGGGCAGTGGGGAGCAAAAACACAAACAGGAGAACAATCCATTTCATTCCTTGTTGAAAATGACTTTAAAACAATCTTTCCCAAAACTTTCTTGTGTACCCTTATTGACATTACGCACAATCTGTATTTTTACACCTCATTCTTAAAAAAAAAAATCTATGAACTCTTAATACTTAGCCTTACCCTCAGCAACATAGCTACACAGCATGGATTTGATGTGATTGTTGTATGTTTTCTCCCAACACTTATTAAAATATCTATAACTATAAAATAAATTCACTTCTCTACCACATAGAAGCATCCCTGGTGCCACCAATTATATAAACATCACACTTTGGGAACCATTGTTATGAAATTCAGGTGCTGGCTAAGTAGAATCTAGTGAATCTTACATTTACTTATAAATAATTAGCGTTAAGTGACACAGAGTCAAGATTCTGATTTTCAGAACCATAGCTCAGATCAGAGGCTCTCAAACATTTTTTTCTGCAGTGATTCACAAGATAGATGACATTCCCATGTGCAACATACTCTTGTGAAAAGACAAGACTGTCTGTGGATTATGTGCAATTTCCTGCCATGTATTTGTAATCTTCCCAGTCAAGAAAGCCAACTGGAATGCAAGAAAATGGCTATCCCTCGGGAGGTGCCTGTGAGTGCACGCAATCTTATTTTTTAAGAAACAAATTATTCATGAATTTTGATTTTTAAGCCATTATTTACTCATTTCTACCTTACAACTAATCAAATACACACCATTGTCATGGCACCACAGTTAAACCTGCCAGAGTAAAGCACAGGATATTGGATTGAGTATTTTGGAGTGATATTTTTCTCTGAGAGGAGACCAAATGGAGTGTGAACTGGTTTTATTCTTGGGAAGGCTTCAGGATTTTTAAAATTTGTTTTTTAATACGTTCTAGATAGTGCTCCTCTTACCTCTTCTCTGAAAAGTAGCATGTGGGAAGAGAAATGTATGGTAAGCTGAGGTTTTTACTTGGCTGGAATTTTTACTGTAAACAGACCTGGTTTCTACCCAAGGGTTTACAACCTGAGATACAAAATAATTTTCTATTTGGAAAATTTTTAGCATATGTAGCCAAGTACCTTGGTGACCATGTGATACATGAAATTAGTATTATCTGCACTATGGGGGCAATGAGAAGCATCAAGAAAAATATTAACATTTACCCAAAGGCTTATAGATTTGCTTATTAGACAATAACAGTACCATATAGTTGAATAAATAGACCCACAAATATTTGCAAGAGGCAAACATACAATTATTTTTAGAACCCTATAAGGTTTTTGCCAGTACTTTTCCAGCATTTGAGGTCAGAGTACTCAAATAAAGACACATCTGAGAATTTAAAACACATTTTAAAGTACTCTCTAAATTGGACTAAAAAGGAAGGAGAGTCTGAATTAGGAATAAGTCCGAGAGGATAATTGAAGAAGTGTAGTTGCAATATACCTATTACAAATAAAACAGTCAAACTAAATCCTAACAAGCTGATTACAGTAGTCATCTTCCTGGATTTGCCTTAATAAATAAACACTCAGATGAAATCAGCACAGTCATGTTATCATCTTGCACATGAAAGTGCTATCAGTGGGTTCAAATACATAACAAAATCAATCCAAATCAAATCCTTGAATAACAAATTAACTGCTTAGGACTAATTTCCAAGAATATATAAAATCAATATGTACTAGAAAAAGGTTGAAGATGCGGCTAGCACACTGGACAGGAAAAATTACAGTGTTTTAAAACTTTTGAGTCAATATAAACTTAATATTGATTGAATTTAAAACTACATAATTTTCTAAGGTAGTATGGGTTTCTATCATATTCATATGTAAGAAACAATTTTAAAATGTTTAAAATAAAATCAACATAGTATACCCCAAAGTTGGTGATCCATCAATAATGTTTAGTGAGCAGTGCAGAGAAAGTTAAGCATTTTTAAAACGAACTCTGTTATTTAAGAACAGCAATAAGTAAAACAGGGAGATTAGTTTCTACTACCAGTCATTATATAATAAAACAAATCTATTTAAAAGACATACATTTTCTGGATATATCCATTTTGCAGGGTGCAAATATTTTAAAGCTTTGTTTTGTTGTTGTTGTTATTTTGTTTTTTGAGATGGAGTCTCTGTCATTTTGTCGCCTAGGCTGGAGTGCAGGGGCACGATCTTGGCTCACTGCAACCTCTGCCTCCCAGGTTCAAGCGATTCTCCTGCCTCAGTCTCCCAAGCAGCTGGGACTACAGGCATGTGCCACCATGCCTGGCTAATTTTTGTATTTTTAGTAGAGACGGTGTTTCACCATTTTGGCCAGGCTGGCCTCAAACTCCTGACCTAAAGTGATCTGCCCACCTTGGCCTCCCAAAGTGCTGGGATTACAGGCATGAGCCACTGTGCCCAGCCTAAACCATGTATTTTCAACATGAACGATTAATAAATAATTATTTCTGAAACCTTAGAAAATTTAAATTATATAATATCTGAGACATCTGAGAACATGAAAGATTTTAAGAGATTAGAGTAATAGTTTGAGTAAGAAATCTGCTCCATATTTGCTGTCATATGACTTGTGCAAATAAAACAGATCTAACAGGAGTTACAGATGTTAAGCCAGAAGAAATACAAGGACCCGAAAGAGGGACACACAACACAGGCAGATCCAGGAGCATGGAAAAGGAGAAGAAAAATCATCACTGGGTAAAAGAAGGATGAAATACTTCAACAAGGAGTGGCAAACACTGAATCCAGTACCTTTTTCCGGGCTAAGCACTGGGCTATGTGACTAATATGAAGCACAAGCATTTTACAAACTATAAGATGCTGTGATCTACTTATAATAACAGACCTAAGAAGTAAACCCTCCTTTCCATAGGAAACTGATTTGGATCAACCTAGAGGGTTTTCACAGTAATAATTATTATAAGAAATGCACATTTGTAAATTTAATAAAGTGGTGACAGTTTGACACGTGTGTATGTGTTCATATATACACACATATGTATACACATATTTTTCTTTTCCCTTAAATTATTATTTTTTACTTCCTCTTTTCTCTTCAGGGACCCAAAAGCACAGCACACCAATGACTCTAGACTCAAGGTCAGTATTCCTTTCTGACAATTCCCAAACTTCTGAGCTTTCATTTTTGTGAAACAGGATATGCTATCCCTGGTTTATCTCAGAGCTCACAGTAACTTCCAAGAGCTACAAGAAACCTAGATAACAAGGGTCCTGAACTCTGATAAGCAGATTCTCAATGGCAAATGAAAATAATTATTCATACCCTGAGCAACTATGAAATCACCTGAAAATCTTATCAAAAGAAAAGGTTTTAACGCACTCTCAGCATCTCTTACATGTTATGGTGAGAGGGCACTAGGAAACAGGACCGTAGTCAGGAAAGAGGAAAAAGATACGACATCTTTTGTTTTTTCAGGTCTGTTAGAAATAGTTTCATGAGGGTCAAATTTCCAGTGAATACATGATTAAATGTAAACTTTCAACCTGTGCATATATTGGTAATTCAAATGGAACAAGAACTCCTGGTGTATTAGAAATACATTTGGAAAATGCACAAGACTCTGGAACTTGAACTAACCCCAAAGCAAAATCAATGTGTCTTAAATAACAAGTTAAACAGATAAGTTGAAGACCTCAATTCACCAACTCTGGTACCGATGCAAAATAAAAAAACAAACAACCCAAATTTTCTTTCAGGTCTTATTTCCGAGATCCTTTAAAGGACACTTCCACGAGGATTTGCTCAGTTTTCTCATCACTAAAATCAAGACACTACCACCTCCTGTACAGCCTTGACTGAAAGCATGTATGAAGTGCTTATGCTCAAGCCCTGTCCTCTTCAAATCACATCTGGCAAGATACAAGGATGTTTACAAGCCGTGCTGCCTAAAAATTTTCCTTTCCCTTCCTCAGCCTTCCTCCCCTTAAAATCTTGTCAGAAATATTACTCAGCTGAGTAAATTAAATAAATATCCTCTCCCAAAAGCTCCTGTTAGCACATCACCACGTTCATCAGAAAGAGGTAACAGGTTAATATCTTGGCATATTATCAGCCAGTAATCAATCCATGTTGATGGTGGGAAAGGTAGGGATGAAGGGATTAGCATGAATGACACAAGTGACAAATAGCAAAGGGTATTCAAAGGAGGCAACCAAGGTCATTTTCACATCCTTCATAACTGTATTATCATATGCCCTGCCTGTAACACAGCACTGAGCTAGAGAAGTTGGATGAGGAAGGAAGAAGATGAAGGACTGGTAAATGGCAACCCCAAGAGCAGGGCTAACTGAGGAAATTCCAGCCTGGCACAGCAGATCCAATGGACATGTGCTAGATACAAAGATTCACTGGTCACTTTTTCATGAGGTTAGCCTATCATTGGCTCTAAGACTTTTAACTCCCATTCTAATTTAGGGAAGGTTCATTTCTTCCTATTTAGAAGGATTCCCCACTTACTAAACTAGAACCAGTCCTATTCCAAGTTCATATAGTATAGTGGTTGAGTACTTGGGCTCTAAACTCTTCGAGATTTAGGTTTGAAACTTTATGGCATTTCCTAGTAGTGACACCTTAGACAGGTGACTTAAATTTCTTCAAGCCTCAGATTCCTCGCCTGAAAAGTGGGGACGTCTTTTAGGGCTGCTGTGAGAAAATGATGAGCTAGTGCAGGTAAATAGCTCAGCACAGCTCTAAGATTGCTAAGATTAGCTATCTCTATTATTGCTTTCATTGCTATTTTATAGCATTGTGTATTTTCCACATGATCAGTTAATAAATAATTGACTCTGGACCCAGAATTCAGCTAAGACCTACTCACTTCATTGACCTTGCTTATATAAGAAGTAGGCCAAACTCCTTGATTTCGTCCTAAGGTCAAATCAAATGTGAATTGGATCAGAGAGACAAAAGGTAATGAGTTTTCTGGGGCATCCATCCCAAGGCATCCATGCCCCAGTGAAAGGAAGTTCCAGTTCCAAATGATCAATTTACATTATCAAGAATCAAGCGATTCATGACAAGAATAACTCAAATGTGTCTGGAATACGTCTATTTTTATTCCTGTAACAGATTAATATTGATTCTAGCCTTTCCTTAAACTCATTAAAAAATTGTGTGCGGTTCCTGAGCATACACTGGCTAACTAGGCAGCCAAAATAAGGAGTTTGGGTGTATGCAAAAAGAGTAAGGGAAAGGATTAAGGATAATAGGTAATTCTTGATGTGGAGTATATTCATTAAGAAAATCAAGAGTTCACAGAGATCTATGTAAAACACTTGGAGTTCTTTGGCAGAAAAACAGTATTTAAAATATAAATGTAAAATATCATCACCATCATCCAAAACAGCTTGCAGTTTTCAAAGATAATCACTTGATCCCTACTGGACATTTCTTAAGGGATCTAAAAATGAGTACCGCAATAAGTCGGATATGTTCTTTTTAAACATGATCATCGTATTGTACACTTGATACTTATGCTGAGAGCTCAGATCTTCCTTTCCTAGTATAATTTTCATCTAAGCATTCCTTAGATACTTAGATCATTCTTAATGGAGATTGTGCATTATACCCTCTGTGGACACATAGAAATCTGGCTAATTGGACTGACTAGATTACAGTCGTTAATGAATTCCATTTCCTTCGTCTACGATACATGCTTAAGATATTTTTGTCACCTATTACGTAAATTTTTAAGATTGTAATCATTCATTGAAGCAGTGTTTATAGGCAAAAGTTTTTCATCACTCTTTTCAATAAATAAAATTCCTACAGAGTCATCCTTCAGTATCCATGGGCGATTGGTTCCAGGACCTCCGAGGATACCAAAATCCACAGATACTCAAGTCCTTTATATAAAATGGTGTAGTATTTGCATAAAACCTACACACATCCTTTCATACACTTTAACTCATCTCTAGATTACTTATAACACCTAATGCAATATAAATTATATGTAAATAGTTGTTATACTGTATTGTTTAGAAGAAAAGGCTATACATGTTTAGTCCAGGCACAATCATTCTTTTTTTTTTTTTTCCTGAATAGTTTTGATCCTCAGTTGGTTGAATCCATAGATGTGGAACCCATGGATAGAAGGGGCCGACTGCACTTTCAGGCTACATTTCTGTTCTTGTTGGTATAAAAACTGGGTATTTTGATAAAGTTTGAAATGAATCTGTAGCATGAATAGTTATCATTCAAATGCTACAGAAATCATAACTGAACACAAGCTTTGCAATAACGCATTCTGTTTCAGCCCCAGCATGCCCTTCAGAACGGCACAGCCTTTTACAAAAAACAGGTGAGGTGTACTCGGGAGGCTGAGGCAGGAGAATGGCGTGAACGCGGGAGGCGGAGCTTGCAGTGAGCCGGAGATCGCACCACTCCACTCCAGCCTGGGCGACAGAGCGAGACTCCGCCTCAAAAAAAAAAAAAAAAAAAAAAAAAATTACAGGTGAGGTGATGGAATATCTACTTGTCAAATCCTTATCTGAACATTTTTAAACAATTTTTATTTTAAAAGTATCTTGTTTCATATTAAATATTGTATCCCAGAAATCCTTTAATAAATTATTTCCTTTCTTGGCCAAAATAAGGTATCTAGCCAAGGACAATTTAGTACTGTCTCTTTAAGTGCCAAGAAGAGTACATAATTCTAATGTTTACTCTCCCCATATATTATACCTGTCAAAACTTTTTAAACTCTAATGAGTCAGCTTGCTGAAAATAAACTCCACACTTCTATTTGAAAGTATGAAACTAAACGCTGAGTGGGAAAAAGTTTACCCTCACTCCCAGTGTAAATCAGCACAGAGAGGAAGTAGAAAAGTACTCCAGCTATTTGCTATAGACACAAATATGCACTGACGGCTACTGCGCATGATCCACTCATGATGAATGTTCCTACCCCTAACATGAAAATGTTGGGAAAGGGAGGGGAAGAGAGAAGGACAGAAGAAGGATGATGTGTGCATACCCAAGATTAGCCATTTCCTCCCAGTACATACAAACAACAACAACAACAACAAAACACCTCCTTTCATTCTTAGAGATTTCTTGCCTCTTTGAGAGCAAATCCTGAATGACAGTGGACTCTGGGAAGGAGGGCTTTTCTCCTGTCCCCTCCATATCCTGGTGAAATCTCCTCCCTGCTGCAAAGCGGTGCTGTTACTGTTCGAGGGGCATAGCCCAGACACAGAAATCTGAAATTTCAAAAATGCGATAAAGCCCTAGCCCGGCAGCCCTGGGAGGCGAGCAGCTGCCGGGTGACCGCTGATGAAGTGGCTTCTTAAGGAGGTGGGCAGATTGATTCCAGCTGCTGAGCGCAGGGCAGGGCAGCCGCTCGGAATGCACAGCCCGGCTGAGACAAGACTCAGCAGCAGCTTCCCAGGCAAGGGCAAGGCCAAATATTAGGTCTGTTTGCAGTCCTGAGAAAAGGAAGGAAAATGCCACTGTTCCATCCAACAGGGACTTTCAAGGCAAGATGGGCCCAAAGGTGCCATGTACACAGTGTTAATTCGTAAGTGGAATGTCACTATGTCACTCAGGAAATCTGAAAGCTGTCTTCTGAGATGGCTGTTCAGAAGGTCCCACAATTCCTTAAGAGGAGTCCTTTCTGCCTGATTCCTGTTTTTCTCCCCACTCTGGCTCCCAGCTCCTGGTCTTCTTCTAATAACTCTGAACCGCTGCTCAGCCTCCCTGGCTCCCCATCCCATATAATCAATACACAAGAGGGACTCCAGAGGCAGACACGGAGGAGGTGCAGTGGGCCAGTGGCAGACACTAAGCGCCCTGGAGCTGACCTGGATGGGGACAGTGGAAAGGACATGCTCTTCAGAAGAGCTTGCCTCAAAAGTGAGAGAGCTAAACGGAGAGAGGGGGACTAGTTTAGGAGTCCCCTGAGGGCCCCAAACTCAGACAGCAAATGATCTAAGAAGAGGGAAAGATTAAGAGAGGTAGGCGGGCATGAAGGCACTCCTAATGGAATATTCAATATCCTGAGAAATGCATTTTCGGCCCTGCACTTCCAGGGACTAAAAGCCAGTAATGGCTTTGGAGTCTGCACTTCCTCTCCCTAATGTCCAGAGGCGCTTTAATGCTGCAGCCAATCGATCAGCCTTCTCCGGTGAAGGCGACGAGTGGAGTGCAAAAGCTTCCTACTTGTGGCCAAAATCCACCCAGCCTCCTCTGCACACCCCAAAGGAGTGACATACAACTTTGAACTGGCAGGATTTGTCTCTTAAAGTGCCGGAGAGGAGGAAAGGAAGGAGCCCAGAGGCGTCCGGAGAAACAGCCTACCCTCACCCCTCCGCCTTCTTCATCCCAACTTTTCCAGGGAGGGACTCAGGGGAAAACAAAAAGGGAGGGCGCACTATCCACCTTGGGACAGGGCTGACGAGCAGCCTCAAATCTGCTTCAGGTGCAAGGTCACTGAGCGGACTCCAAACCTAGAGCAGCCTTAGGTGTTGAACTTCTGGAAGAGGCACAATCAGAGCAAAGAAACGTCCAGAAGGTGGGGTTTCTTTGCAATGTCTTGCTGACATCACAGCTGCCTTGAAAGTGACCCTGTGAATAAACCTCTCCCCTCCTCGCCCCCACGCTCCAGGCTGGATCCCTGCCCTAGAGACAAGCCCCTGTCCCGCCTCTCCCTGTCCCCGCATCCGCCAGCAGAGCTCGGGTTCTGGGCAAGTTCAGTCCCTAAGTTGAGCCCAACCCTGTCCAGCCTCCAGTCGCCCCTCCCTAGGAGGCTCGGACAGCCCCACTGAGCATGTCCAGTGGCCTGAGTCCGGGGGGTCGCCGCTGGGAAGCTCTCCAGGCCCCTGGATGGGCAGGGTTGGGTCCCTGCGTGGACGCTCCCAGCGGGGCGCACGAAGGACAGCCGCGCGACTGCAGCCATGTGTGGAGGGCACAAGTTAGCCCGCGCGAGTAAACTTTCCGCGGTCCTCCTCCCCACCCCCACGCCACAGGGGCGCGTCTCCCCGTGCAGCTCGCCTTTCCCAGCCCGGCGGAGACAAGCACAGCACGTGATGGGCAGAAATAAAAATAAACACTTCCCATTCCCGGGCCGCGGGGCCACCCCCACTCCGCGCGCCGCAGCGAGCAGGGGGCGCCCTGGGCCGACCCGCCCCCGCCGCCGCGGCCAGAGCCCCCAGCCTCTGCGCCGCGGGCCGGGACGAGCGCCCGGGCCCACGGCCTCCGCGCCTACCTTTCGGACTTGGTGAACTTCCGGAATGCCTGTCGGAGGTCGTGGAAGGACCTGTACGTCTGCGGCTCGGCCGAGATGCCCTGCGCCCGGGTGGTCCGGGGGCCGATGTGGGTCGAGGGCACTGGGAGCACCGACTGGCATTTGTGGAGTTTCCTCTTCAGCTCCTGAATTTCTTCCTCCTTCTCTGACAGCCGCTTCTCCAGCTCTTTGATCCTCTCCTCCTTGAGCATGAGAATCTTGGCAAAGTCTTCCTCTAGCTCGCTCATTTTTTCACTGAGCCCCTCCGCGAAACTTTTTCTCGGGCGGCGGCGGCGGCGGCGGCGGCGGCGGCGGCTGGGACGGCAGCCGGCAGCGGAGAGCGCGGGTGAGCGAGTGAATGGGCGCTAAGTACTCGAGCGCGGCGGAGTGCGCCCCTAATGCGGCGCGGGGAGCCTCCTGCTTCGATCCGCTTCTGCTGAATGGACTAAAAGCACCGAGGGGAGGATGAGAAGTCTAAAAGCGATGGAGAGGAGAGGCAGAGTGCTAATCTCCAGCCTCTCTGGGGAGTAGGTGATTATCTTTCATTGAGAAACCAATTAGAGCTGCCCTTCCTCCCCTGAGACCCCCTCCCTCGTCCCCCTCTCCTAGTCACTCCGTGAGAATACGCGCGCGCCACCCCACCGACAGCCGAGTTGCTAGCAGAGGGTTGGATCAGAGAGCCTGGTCCCACTCCATCACACAAAACTCACTCTTCCACGCTGTATGGTACCAAGGGAAGGGGGTGGGGTGGGGGGGGGGAGATTTATGCCACTTGATCCTTGAAATAGCAACAATTACCATGTGATCTGGCGGATGACGCAGCGCTTGTAACTGGATCCTAAAGAGTGTGAGTGTGTGTGTATGTGTGTGACATTTCGTAAATATTAAACTGCCTTTAGACAGTAACCTGCACAAATTCATCTTGGTCTTTGACTTTTACTTCTTTTCTATTTTTGATGCCTGGATGGATTCAGAAAGGAAGGCGTGTGTGTGTGTGTGTGTGCGTGTGTGTGTGTTAGTTACTTTGAAGTCTCATGGTTCTGACCCTAGTAAGAATGACAGGGCAATACCAGTTCCAAGGTTTTTCAGCGTAAAGCCTTACTGGACAGAGTGAACTAAAATTGTTGGTGGGGAAGTTGGATGAACATAGGGTAATGAGCCAAATGATTACGGAAAAGAGAAAGGCCATGTGTTAACTGTAAACTTTTTGTGTCTGGCTTTTTTTCCATCTACTACCCTTCAGTCTTGTATACAGAGCATCCAAATTATATCACAATCTCTTCCTCAATGGCTCAGAAGTGGTGGCCACCAGTGCTAAGCTGGGTCACACTACCAGTTCCAGTTTGG
Organism: Homo sapiens; assembly: GCF_000001405.40. Classification (NCBI taxonomy): domain Eukaryota; kingdom Metazoa; phylum Chordata; class Mammalia; order Primates; family Hominidae; genus Homo; species Homo sapiens. The sequence goes on along the minus strand of NC_000010.11, from coordinate 50,990,279 downwards.
GGGAGAAATTGCATCTTTAATTATCTGTGTTTAGGTCTTACCTGTGCATCCACCATCTACCCTATGCTAAAAGGATTATTCTGCACAGTAGAATAATCGCGTATTCACGGATTCTTACAATTTCCTTTTTTATATCTATCACAGAGAGCATTTACATAACATAAGTCACTATTTGAGAGTTTGATTTGATAGGGAATGAGAAGTATTTCTTCTGATAATAGTCAACACATTGGTAATTTTTTTAAGGAAAAAAATAGTTGCAACTAAGATACCAGGAGATTCTTTCCTAAATTGTAACTTTTCTTAAAAAAGAAAAATCAATGTATAATTACTGGCTACTTACAAAAAAAAAATTATTCTACCTTTTCTGAAACAACTAAATAAAGGAAAAACAGGTGTATATTTTATTCTGGAGATTTATTATTTACTATTCTACTTATCTGATTATTGTACATTAAAAATGTTTTAAACCACATCTGAATTTCTTAATTGCACCAGATGCTAAAGTCTGGCTATGTCTACTGATGTTTGAGAAAGGGTTCTTAGTGTTGTTGACAGTTGCTATTCTGTTGCTTCTGTCTATGAACTTAATCTGCTATTATCATTTTACACACACTAAAATAATTGACATTTAAAAATAATACATTAGAAAAAACCTTTGATCACATTCAAAAATCTAGGCATAGCTTTAACTTTATTTACAGAAGAAAAAAATAGTTTTAAAATGACTCTTAAAAGGTTTTTTCCAAGTCTTACACTATCTTAAATGAAGATATTCAAATGTTTCTTCTGCTTATTAAAAAATAAACCTTTAAACTTAGATTTCACGCATGCACCTCAAAACCCAAAATTCATCCCCATCTTCCAAAATAAAACTATTTTTGAATAGGTCAGTTTTAATTTAAATAATGTTGATTGCTAGTGACGTTAAATCTTGTCCATTGGCTTAAGAAGTATTTAATTTAGACCACAAGGAAAGCTTGAGAAAAGACATGCTGGTAGAAGAATAAACACTGAATTATTAAAAAACATGTCATAGTATATTACAGCTGAAAGAACTTTGAAGATGATCTAACCCAACAACCTCATATTACAAAGGAGGAAAATTAGATCTTGAGAGGGAAAGTCCAAGATCACTTCAAGGGCAGAAGTTTGAGTCCAGGACGCCTAATACCCACGAAGCATGCTTTCCGTCCCATGCTGCTCCTAGCCTAGATCCAGAAAATTTAGAAACTCTATGATTCTGATGATCCAGTGTTGAAAGATGTGACCTTACTTTCTGTTTCTTACTTCTAAATCTGTAGCAGTAATATGTCAAAGCAGAGAATTAATGAAACCTTAGATTTTTTTTTTTTTCTTAAAGGACAAGGTCGCCATCTAGTGCCCTTGGAGAAATTTGCTAAATAAAAATCTTAATCACAACTAAGTTGGGGTTATGTCCTTAAATACCTGTACTGGTGTTTTCATTTCATATTTGTGAGAAATGAAGAAAACAACCAGAATTTTGTGTCAGACTAAAAATCTTTTTTTTTTACATTTAATATCTTTTAGCCTGGATGATGACAATGATGATTGTCAACATTTATTATTTAATACGTGCCAGCACAGGGCTAAGCCCTTTATGTAATTGATTTTAATCCCCACACTTACTCTGTAAGATAGGCACTATTACTCATTTCTGTTTTATAGATGGAGAAACTGATGCTTGGCCAGACTAGATAATTTGCCCGTGGTCACATTGTCCAGATTTGACCCAGGCTGTCTTAATACCCTATGCAGCGCTGCTTCTACTCAAAATGCATTAAAATATTCACTTCTCTGTGAGCCCGGTGACAAGCAAAACTAAAATATCTTTCTTGCTGGGGACACAGTAAGTGTAAAATCACATATAAACCCAGAAAAATTCATAAGATTCTGGTGTCTAACAATCAATTTCCTTACCGAAGTTGTTTTCCTAGTGATATTTTGGGATATATTATACATTTCATATATAATTTCAATTTTTAAGCATTTGTGCTTTCAAAAATTATGATTGTGTTTTGCCTCCCTTTCTCTCTTCTGTCTAATAAGGAGCACTTTCTAGAAAGGCTGAAAGTGTGTAAGATGTAAGCAGCAATTCCGGGATTCCTGTACTTTAATCCAGGACAGCGTCACAGGGGCCATTGGGAGGACAGGTCTGTAAAAAACTTAGAAACAATAATAAAAGTGACTAAAAGTCAATCTGCTTTTTATTGTCTCTATTTACTAGAAGTTACAAATATCAGTAATAAAATATTCCTCCTCCTCCCAAAAATATTCTCTTGGTCTAAGTACAAAGGATTACTGTGTTTACTGTTGAGCAGGTGGACCACTCTCATCACCCCACCCCTTGGAATAATACTGACCTTGGTGCATATTGTACACATTCAGACCAAAGGAAATTATCATGTGCAGTTGGTTAGAGTGAGGTTCACATGGATGGCAGCAGCCCATAAAAGAGGCTTGGGGAAATGAAAATAGAGACAGGGATCTGAGCTTGTGAAACAGGTAAGGATTCACAAAATTCAAACCATATCTTTATTCCCAAATACTTGCTGTGGTTGTAAAAAATGGCAATACCTGTGAAAAACTGGAAACAATACATTTTGCACCAACAGATGCAATTGGTGAACTAAAGAGGACTGAATTTAGAACCAAAAGATTGATATTCACATCTCAGTTCTATCACTTCTTGAGCTGTGTGCCCTTAGGCAGATTCCTTAACTTCTCTGAGATCCACTTTCATCATTTGTAAAAGGAGAAGTTACCTATGGTCCTTTTTACCTTGCTACCTTCAATGGTTCTATGGAACTCCACTTTCCCTGTGACTCACATTCTGAAATTATCAATCTGTTCTTACAGACAGCATCCATCCAATAACTTCAGCTATGTTTAAAACTTTGAGAGAAGAAAGAGTTAAGATGGAGTCTGGTTGGTCCTACGAAAATTACAGCGTACTTTTTGATTAATAGAAGATTATTTTCCATTAATTCTACATCATACTGGATGTGGCTTTAACATTGTCACCTGAACCAGCCATGTTGTTTCGATCATAAAGAGTGGTTGCACCTTGAGTAAGATAAAATCTTGAAGTCCTGAAACACACCCACATTGACATTAACCAACACACAGAAGATGAAAATGGCAAATGAAGTGTTGCCTTAATTAAACAAACTTCAAAAATAGTTCGTTTCTGTTTTCTGGATTTCCATAAAGAATCATAAGAGTTATTTATTTTTTTGAGACGGAGTCTTGCTCTGTCATCCAGGCTGGAGTGCAGTGGTGTGATCTCAGTTCACTGCAACCTCTACCTCTTGGGTTCAAATGATTCTCCTGCCTCAGCCTCCCAAGTATCTGGGATTACAGGTGTTTGCCACCAGACCCAGCTAATTTTTGTATTTTCAGTAGAGACAAAGTTTCATCGTGTTGACCAGGCTGGTCTTGAACTCCTGGCCTCAAGTTATCCACCCGCCTCAGCCTTCCAAAGTGCAGGGATTACAGGCATGAGCCACTGCACCCAGCCCATACAGTTATTTAAAAAAAAAAACAAAAAAACATAAGTTCCTATAGAAAAAAATGTATATAAATGCTTTTCACAATGTGGTCCTCTTGATGTAAATGAAATTCTTTCTCATGCGGGCATACAACAGTAAGACCATTGCATTTTATTATTTTCTGCGATATTTGTCCACAGGTTTGAAAAAAAAACAGTTCTTTTTAGAGATCATGAAAAATAAAACTAACCTAAAAATTGTGATATTTAATATATTATAGAAATAAAATTCTGCAGTAAATTTAAAACCATGGACCTAAAATATGAAGATAGGGATGCCATGTAACTTGAGGAGGCCAATAATTTCATCTCCCTGACCATCAATTATCCCAACTATAAAGTGCAGATAGGGAAACTAAATTCTCTTGCACCTAGACCTTTAAGACTCAAATGAACAGGAAAGCCAAATTTAAATTTCTTATTTAAATTTAACTCTATATAAATAAATATAAGTAACATGGTAATGTAATCCCTTCTTTGACTTTTTGGTGGAAGGATAGCTCACCAGGGGAAGAGAGTAGGGGATGGGGACAGGATTGGTGGTGGTGGTGGGAATGTTTATACTGCATTTACATCCCCCAAGTTTTCCACCCCTGGTAGCATCTTCTCCCAGTTACTCAATCAATATACAATCAAATACTAATAAAAGTGCTGCTGTGAAGAGAATTTGTAACTATAATTAACATCTCAAATCATTTGACTTTAAGAGAGAAAACTTACCTGTGTGGGCCTGACCTAATCAGGCAAGTCCTTAAAAGAAATTAGGCTCCTCTTGAGATAGGGATTTGAAATGTGATTGGGACTGGACTCAAGAGAGATCTCCTGTTACGGGCTTTGAGAATGGAGCAGGCTGCATGGCAAGGAATGCAGGTGGACTCCAGGGATGTAGAGCAACTCCTAGCTGACATCAAGTAAGGAAGTGGGGACCTCAGTCCTACAACAGCAAGGAACTGAATTCTGTCACAACCACATGAGCTGGGAAGAGGACCTCTAGCTCCAGGTGAAAAGGAAGCATGGCTGACACTTTGATTTCAGCCTGTAAGTCCCTAAGCAAAGATCCTAGTCATGCCGTCCCCACACTTCTCACTACCAAAACTGTGAGATAAGTTGGTTTTAAGTCTTTCAGTTTGTGGTAAAAATTGTCAGGCAACAAGATAAAACTCATAAATGACTTGACTGCCATTTTTAAAATATCCTTTAAAAACACTAGAAATGTATTGCCATTTCCAGAAGGCTGCCTTCCCAAAAGGGTCATTTTCAGTGAAACTATAATGCATTTCAAATGGATACTTGAGCAACATTAAACATTGCTATAAATTAGGAACTGCTTAAAGCATACTGATGACAATATGAACAGCCTTCCATAAAAGATGTTTATGTTTAAAGCAAAACACTAAAGTGACTGAAGTGTAAATCTTCCAAACATAGGTTCTAGTAAGGATTGAAATCATTCATTAGTTTACTACACAGCAGAAATGTTACTATAATTTGCCCTATGTAGAGGACCAGCCTTGTGACTTTGAATAAATTATGTAGTCAGCTGACCCTTAGTTTTCTCATCTGTAAAATATTAATAACTCTCTTGCGTAGTATTATTTATTTTTTATAAAGTATTTCACTATAAGTATATACTTAAATAATTTTGGAGTCTTATTAATTAACTGAATGTGTTTCCATAGTTATCCGTGGAAAATAAGTGCTCCTACATCATGTTACCTTTGAGTTCAAATCCTAATGTCATGTATTTGAGGAGACTTGGAAGATTTTTCTTTTTTAAATACAAATCTTTTTTGAGTTTAGTTTTTGATTTGAATATTTGTTTGATTGTAGAAATGATAGAAATTGGAGTTGTCTGCTTAGAACATTGTTTGTTTTTGAGACAGAATCTCAGAGTCTCGCTCTGTCACCCAGGCTGTAGTGCAGTGACACGATCTCGGCTCACTGTAACCTCTGCCTCCTGAGTTCAAGCGATTCTCATGCCTCAGCCTCCCAAGTAGCTGGGATTACAGGACTGTGCCACCCCGTCTAGCTAATTTTTGTATTTTTTGTAGAGATGGGGTTTCGTGATTTTGACTGGGCTAGTCTTGAACTCCTGGCCTCAAGTGATCTGCTTGCCTCAACCCCCCAAAGTATAGCTATTACAGGCCTGAGCCACCACACCCAGCTAGAGCATTTTTTAAATAAATAATTTTAATAGAAAATACATGCATGTGATATAGAATTCAGGAAGTACAAGAGAATGTACATTGAAAGGTAAGTCTCTCTCCCATCCCTGTTCTCCAGTTCCCTTTTCTGGAGGCAATCATTCACTAGTAACATTTATTTGTGTATCCCTCATAAAATACTCAATTCATTCATAAAAGCATTTTTGTAAAAACATGCATTTTTACACAAATAAGATTTAATACCTGGTTTGTATGCTAGTATATTCCCTAACTTAAAGCTATTATTTCCTGCTTTTCAGGATCATTATTCCAGTGCAATATGTCACACTGTTTCACTTTGCGATAAAATGGTCAGTAACAAGGCAGGAACATGGCTGAATTTAGACAGTCTGCGACCTCCCTTCACTTAGCCATTATTTATAGATTTTCTTTCCCTTTCAAAAAAAATTAGGTACTTCTTGTTTTATTGAATATATTTAATAACAATTTTTGAATGGTCTAGTATTTTAAGAACAAAAGCCAAACCTTATAAGACATATATGTCTTTTAAGAATATAATAAAATAACCTCTGGCCTTAGTCTTCCCCAACTGCTTTGTGTTAATGGAAACATTCATCTGAGCTTATCTCAAGTTATTTCCAATTAGCAGTGTCCATGTAAAAGAAAAAAAAAAAAAGCTAGGCATAAGGAGCACTCTATTTTGATAGTCTCTCAAGCCTTTATAACTGTCATGATTTTCTTGGTCTCTAATCAAAATTGCATAGTTAGTTAAATAGTTCATTTACTATTTTAGATTCAATGAGGACAAATTTATTTGGAAATGATTTTATCAGAATGTCCAGGCAGTTATTATAAAAATAAATTATAATTTGCTTTTGTAAAAAAATAGTTTCACAGAACTTGCAATATTCCAGGAGATGTTAGAATTCTCATATTTACAAGTAACAATTCCAAGTGCTATATTGATTATGTTTTCAAATCTGTGTTATATATGGCTCCATTTTAGCAGCCTTAATAAAAGTGAGAAGGCCAGAGTAACACTCAAAACTTCCCCAAAACAATTTTAAAGAACTCTATGAGTTACAATGAGAAGTCTTTGCATTGAAAAATGCTTTGGTTCAGCACTCCTCTCTCGTTTCCACGGCATCCTTTGCAGCCACCTCTAGTCTGCAGAGAGGCGGCAGAAAGACAACAGATATTGAACTAGGAAGACACAGTACCGCCAGCCTTCATTCAAGAGTTCATCTAATAAAGGGAGATAACTTTACAACACTCAGGCAAGCAGACATTACTCAGACTGTGGCTAAAATCAGCAAGAAACTGCCAGGAATACCTCGGGGTAACATAAGGTGGTGCTGGTGTGTGTGTGTGTGTGTGTGTACACCCCACCCATGTGTATGTGTGTGTGTGTCTATTTCAGTCACAGTAACTTTCTTTTCTTATAAATCATTCCTCTAGCTTGGGTAGGTCAGTAAAAAACAAACTATTCCTTTAAAAGTCTCAATTCGAATATTTGGATAGTTTAATGTTAATAGCAGAAATGGAGTGGTGTGAAGACCAGATGGGAAATGCCACAAGTGGCTGAGGGTTAGACTCTAGAGCATCATCATCAATCAAGACTGACAACATCTGCCCCTCCACAGTCAGACAAACTGATCTACCTTTTGTGCAAATGTCAAATTAGCATTCTAGGAAAGACACAGGCGAAGAGCCACTTATGCCAGGAATCTTTTTATTAAGGATATCATGAATCTGGCATTGTTCCTCAGAAAGGGAAATTAAAAATAAATGTTTGTATTACCTGAGCAGATGTATTTAATCTCATTCTTTCAAAAAGTTTTTTTTGCTCGCTTTTCTACAGGTCCCAGGCCCTCTGCTAGACATTGAGGATACAGAGATTAGTAAGAGTATCTGCCCTCAAGAAACTCAGGAGAGTGCAGAAGGAGCTGCTCTAGGGTTAGGGGACACAGATATGCACATGACTAATGGTGGAGCAATAGTGAAAAAACTAGAAGGCTTTTTCTCAAAGTGCCATCATATGACAGAGGAAGGAGAAGGAACAATCAGTAAGATGGGAGTGTGTCTTCACATGAGAGAGAGAGAGAGAGAGAGAGAGAGAGAGAAAGTTGGGGTAGCCTTGGTCAATTCTCCACAATTTAATTTGCCAAAAAGCAATTCACAGAAAGCCAAAATCACCAAATAACAAATTTGACACATGCCCACTTTGTTGAAGCCAAAGAAACAATTTTCCAAACAAATGTAAAAACCAGCTAAATTTCTATAATTTAAAACTAACCAAAAACTGTCACTAAGAAAGAGCCTTTCTGAGTATATGTATAATCTCTCTGAATGGCTTCTTCTATGAACATGTTCTCTGAAAAGCTCAGGCACCTGTTTGTGTAACTGGTCAGGGGATAGGAAGGTGGTGTGATGGGTGGGGCAAGACAAGGCCACATGCTTGCTGGAAAGTACATATGGAGGGCCTTTTGGAATGCCTCTCCGAGGACTTGAAGTTTTATACTAAGAGGTGCTGATTTAATATAATGCCATAACCAGGGACATTTTTACAATAAATAACATATGGAAGCTTCCAAAAAGATATTTGAAAACAACCAAATGTTATCTGTGGCACCAGTAAAGCAAGACTATAGTCTCCTCACTGGGTTTAATGTTCATTTAAAATTAGCCTCTTTTTTCACTTCTCCTATAAAGACTGCTTTTCTCTTTGAGTGTGAAAATTTATTCACCGGGAAAATCAGGTTAAAATAATTAAGTTGCTTAAAGAAATAGAGTACTCTGACAAGCTAACCTTGCAAATTGAAATATGTATACTTGTTAATTTAAAAAATAATATATCTGTGTTATTATGTTATTAGAGTAACAAAATTTCTATTCTAATTTTGTACAAATTAAGTCATTTTTCCAAGGAAAGAAAAAATTAGTAAACAGTTAATACATTGTGCAATAGAGAATGCCTGAGTGTGTATCATGTGAATAAGCAGTTTTAAAATTGCTACTATTGATGAAATAATGTATTACAGAAAAATTGGAGAGAGAGTATAGGTGTAAAAAATTACAAAACATTTTATAAATAAGAATAATTTTCAATAGTAAAAATTATTTTTCTATACTTAGAAAAGTAAGAATAATGTGATTAACCAAAATATTCTGGATAATAACTATGATATATCTCCCCAGATATATTTATCTCTAAATTCAGTATAATTCCAACAATACTTTAAAAATAGAAGTGGATGAGTGGATTTGAAAATTTATATGGAACAAATATTATAATAGAGTAAGAAAAATATTTGAAAACAACAAAAACTGTATTGCTGCCCTACCATCAAATATACTATGAAGCTATAGTAATTAAACCAACATGGTGAATAATTTTTAAAAATGGGTCAATAATGAAAACACAAAGTTTAGAAACAAAACAATGTTTTTATTTTCCATTTTGTTATTTTGGTAAAAAATATAAAATTTGCCATTTTTACCATTTTTTAAGTGTATAGTTCAGGGGCTTTTAGAACATTCACATTTTTCTGCAACCATCACCACCATCCATCTCTAGAAAATTTTTATCTTCCCAAGCTGAAACTGTGAACCTCATTAAACAATGACTCTCCATTCCCTCTTTACCCCAGCCACCAGCAACTACCATTCCACTTTCTGTCTCTATAAATGTGACTGTTCTAGGTACCTTATATTTATTAGTCAGGGTTCCCTAGTGGGACAGAATATATATATATATATATATATATATATATATATATATATATATACACACATATACACACACACATTATGTGTATATACATACACATACACACACACATATGAGTTTATTATGTGTATATATATGAGTTTATGAAGTATTAACTTACACTATCACAAGGTCCCACAATAGGCTGTCTGTAAGCTTGAGGAGCAAGAAGAGCCCGTCCGAGTCTCAAAACTGAAGAACTTGGAGTCTAATGTTTGACGGCAGGAAGCATCCAGCACAGAAGAAAGATGTAGGCTAGGAGGCTAGGCAGGAAGCATCCAGCACACAGCACGGGAGAAGGATGTAGGCTCGGAGGCTGAGCCAGTCTTGCCTTTCACGTTTTTCTGCCTGCTTTATATCACTGGCAGCTGATTAGATTGTGCCCACCAGATTAAGGATGGGTTTGCCTTCCTCAGCCCACTGACTCAAATGTTAATCTCCCTTGGCAACACCCTCACAAAGCCACCAGGATTAATACTTTGGCATCCTTCAATCCAATCAAGGTGACACTCAGTATTAACCATCACATCATATAAATGGAATCATACATTATTTGTCCTTTTGTGACTGTCTTATTTCACTTAGTCTAATGTTCTCAAGGTTTATCCATGTTGTAACATGTACCAGAATGTCTTTCCATTTTGACGCCGAATAATATTCCATTGTCTATATAGGCCACATTCTGTTCATCCATTCATCTGCCAGTGGATACTTCAATTGCTTCTACCTATTGGCTGTTGTGCATTATGCAACTATGAACATTGGTGTGCAAGAATATGTTCAGGTCTCTGCTTTCATTTGTTTTCAGCACATACCCAGAACTGGAATTGCTGGATTATATAGTAATTCTATGTTTAATCATTGACAATGCTTTATAAATATATGAAACAGTTAGTATTCATAAGATGTAAAATGCTCCTACAAATCAACGAGATACCTAATCCAATACAAAATAAAAAATACAAATTTCCAATGCAAAATGATAAAAACAAAGACATCCATCCTGAACAAAATTTATTTTTGTCTGTCAAATTAGCAAAACTTAAGAGATTGATAATATTCCTTATTGTCAAAGCTGTGAAAAAGGGCCCTCCCAAATATTGACTAGAGTGTAAGCTGTTGCCCTTGGTAGCAAGCAATTTAGCAGTAGCCATCCAAATCGCAACATGTGTTAGCTTTTATTCAGCAATCCTACTTCTAAACGTTCAGATTATAGACATAATGATCATGTGTATACACAAAGTATTTTTGCTGTTTGCAAAAGAGAAAAAAAAACCCTTAAAATTAAGTGATTAAATAATGGATGACACATTATAAAATTAAATGTAGCCACAAAAAAAGAATGAAATAGACCTATAAGAAGAATGCCAAGGTGTGATAGAAAGTGAAAAAAAGGAAGGAAAAAAATTATGATTTCATTTACATGACCATGTTTACATGATATATGTAAAATACTTGCATATGTATTTAAATAACCAAACTCAACAGTGTTACCAGAGGGAAGGGGAGTAGGAGTGAGGAGAGGTGGATAACTGTCAAGTTTGGTAAAATACACACTGTTTGAACTTTCTACAGTGAGAATGTACTAATGTATATTGTATACAATTTTTACAATGTTATTGAGGAAAATTACATACAATAAACTGCGCATATTTAAATTATTAACTCTTATCAATTTAGACAGATATTACATGAAATTACAACTGCAATCAAGATAACAAATCATGAAAATGTTTTAAGTCATTGAATTTCTATGATTTCTTAAATATACAGATATAATAAAATGACTTAGCTTTACTAATAAACAGCATCCAGAAAGAGCAGAAAACAACTTTCCCTTTGGCCTTCTCTTACCCTCAAACTTGATCCTACTTACACTGGGTATGGAGACCACCAGAAGCTGTCCTCTCACTGATGCCATATGTCATCCTAAGATGTGTTCTAAAAAGCATTAACCTTCATATTTGCCAGATTTCAATAGTTCCATGGGCCTCTTCTGGGTAACAGTCTCCAAAAGAGTAAAATAAATGGGTAGCCTAGGACCTTACAGTTCAACAGATTATAGAAATAGCCTAATTTCCTGTGCACATGCACGTGCGTGCACACACACACACACACACACAAATCTTTTCTAACACATGCCTGAGAGATAGCCATGTACACCAATGGCTAGATGACTTAAGCAATTAGAGCTAGTGCAATTTTGTTTATATAAATCAGGGTTATATCAACCTCAGCACTATTCACATTTGGGGCCAGAAAATTTTCTCTTGTAGGGGACTGTGCTGTGCATTGTAGGATCTTTAGTAATATCTTTGCCTCTATCCACTAGACGCCAGTAACAGCCCTCATCCTGGATTGTTACAACCAAAAATATATCCAGATGTTGACAAATGACAATCCCCCCCACCCAGTTGAGACCCATTTGTATAAATTGATGCTGAAAGCTAAGCCTCAAAATTAATTCTTACATGGAATATTTCAATTCAAGTTTATTCATATTTTTACCCTTAACCTGCATTCATTTTCAATAAGTACATGGGAATAGCAGAGAAGTAGTTTATGCCATGTTGCAACACCAAAGATACTGACTGTTGAGTGAGGCATAAATCTAAAAGCAGTGCTGAAAAGAAACACCAATTTGACTCCTGGTCAGGGATGCCTGTTCTGCACTTCCCTGCCATTTTGGCCTTAACCGAGTTTTAACAAACTAACCTGGAGAACTCCAGCCCTTATACTCTCTCCGCCTATTCTTTCTTTGATTTCAAGTTAATTATAAGAGAACAGAGCAATCAAAGAATTAATGAGTCATTCACACTCAACTTTGATATGAAAATTATCATTCGATGACTAGATGTCGGCATTTAGTATTTTTCTGGACTCCATTCAGGAAAATGGAAGAATGTTATCAAGTGTAGCATAAACCTGTTTCACATTTCTTTAAGGTATCCTTTAAAGATTCTTTTTAAGGCCAAGTGAGGTGGCTCATGCCTGTAATCCCAGCACTTTGGGAGGCCATGGTGGGTGTATCACCTGAGGTCAGGAGTTCATGACCAGCTTGACCAACATGGTGAAACCCAGTCTCTACTAAAAAATACAAAAATTACTGGGCATGGTGGCAGGTGCCTGTAATCCCAGTTACTCAGGAGGCTGAGGCAGGAGAATCACTTGAACCCAGGAGGCAGAGGTTGCAGTGAGCCGAGATCATGCCATTGCACTCCAGCTTGGGTGACAGAGCAAGACTCTGCCTCAAAAAAATAAATAAATAAGTAAAAAATAAAATAAAAGATTCTTTTTAAAACACGATTTCCAGTTCTATTCTTTTCTCACCATGTGACTAATGCAGAGGTGAAATATATATGTATATATAAAATATATATATAATGCAGAGGTGAAATACATATATAATATATAATATATTATATATTATATATATTATATTATATATTATATATTTATAAAATATAAATATATATTATATTTAGATATATAATATAATTATAATATATAATATATTATATATTATATATATTATATTATATATTATATATTTATAAAATATAAATATATATTATATTTAGATATATAATATAATTATAATATATAATATATATATTATATATTATAATTATATTATAAATCATATATATTATATATAATTATATATTATATATTATATAATATAATTATAATATATAATTATATATTATAATATATATAATTAATATAATGTTATATATTATATTATATTATATATATTTATATTATAATATATATTATATTTATATATAATATATATTATATATAATATGTGGAATTTAACCTCCTTCCTTCAAATAAACCCTTCTACTTTTAACCAAAATGAATAACATATGGCATCCATAAAGATTTGATAAAGACATCTTTTGTAATCACTGAAGGAATAAAGAGAAGCTAGCCAATTATTTAGTGTTTTGGTAATGTAGCTTCAGATTTAATGACATAGCTTAATGAGTGGTGCTTGAAAAGTTTGATTGTTTCTTAGTGAGCTGAGTTACATGACTTCCCTGAAAACTAGAGTTTATATTGGATTTGTAGTCAGTTCCAGTTAAAGCAAAATATAGAACCAATTATAGATATGTCCATAATGGGAAATTTAATATGTTAGTGAGTTCTTAGTTTTATAGCTATATATGACCTGACTTTTAAAATAAATTAAAATAATCTTTCATACTCAACTATTATGAATAATATTATATTATAAATATAGCATCCATATACTCATTGAACACTCCGTGGAAGGCACCATGTTAAGTTCCTCATATACATTAAATTAGTATATCCTCAAAGTTCCTCAAATGTTATTCTCTCAGCTATGGTGACATTGGGAAAGATCTACAACTTCTCTAAGTCTGAATCTCCTCAGGTGTAAAATGGGAATAACAGTAGTACCTTTCTCATTTGGATGATTATGAAAGTTAAATATTTTTAGTAGTAGGGATAAGGTTAAGAGCAATGGTTCAGTATAGTATTTAATTGAAATAATAATATTAAATGTCTCCATGTAATTTCTAAGTATAATTATTATATTACAATAAGCCTTTTCTGAAAAATTATATGAATATAAGCATATTGTTTCATTACCACACATTATTATTTTGGAACAGCATCCCTGTGGTAGGTTGTTTAGAAAAATACTTATAATAATTTCTTTTTTTTTCTTTTTTTTTTTTGAGACGGAGTCTTGCTCTTGTCACCCAGGCTGGAGTGCAGTGGCACCATCTCGGCTCATTGCAACCTCCACCTCCCGGGTTCAAGGGATTCTCCTACCTCAGCCTCCCAAGTACCTGGGACTACAGGCTACCACACTGGGCTAATTTTTGGTATTTTAGTAGAGACGGGATTTCACTGCGTTGCCTGTGCTGGTCACAAACTCCTGAGCTCAGGCAATCTGCCCGCCTCAGCCTCCCAAAGTGCTGGGATTACAGGTATGAGCCACCATGCCGGGTAATAATTTCTTCTCATATTTATGCCTTTGGGAAATACCCTCTCACACTGACCCTGGCTTAACCATGTAGCTTGCTTTGGCCAATGGGAAAATAGCAAGTCTGACACAAACTGAGGAAAGAATTTTCCCAAGAGCAGCAAGAGAGGGCAAGCCCCAGGTGCCCATGCAAATGCTCTCTTGCTGCTCTTGGGAAAATTCTGACCACCTCCCTGATAATAAGCCCTGTCCAGCCTCTGGATGATAAGTGGGACATGCTGCAGTTACCTCAATTGTCTCTGCCAACAGGCAGCCAACTATTAGACATGTGAATGAGATCACCAGCCCCTAGTTGACTGCAGGAACAAAGACCCATCACAACAGGGCTGAGGCCAAATTGCTGACCCTCCGAATCATAAACAAATAAAATGATTTTTTTTAATGTCACTTAAATTTGGAATGGTTTGTTACACAGCAAAAGCTAACTGATACTATTCCTATAGACAACACAAATAAGGATTTTAAAAATCATAATTCAGGATGTAGCTAATAGTCTACATTTACATTTCCACATACAAATTCTGGCTTACTTATACAATATTGTCAATAACATTATATAATAATTCAGCCAATAAAATGAAACCAGTTCTATTTGGTTTTATACTCAGTGGTAAACACTGGACAGTGATATGACATGGAAAGGTAGGATCCTCCTCTTCATAGAACAACAGTGCTAGCAAAGCTCTTATCTTTTGTACTAACTTTAATCAAGTAAATGATGCCATTTTTCAGTGCTGTGTTTAGAGATTCTAAGGCTATCTCTGATTTTAATAGGGGGTGGGAAGTATAAACATGTCAGACATTTGCAAGCCTTGCCATAAATTAGATGTACCCCTGGAATATTTTTGCCCATAAAAAAGTATTCACTATTTACTTTGCATTGTCCATCTCTCTACAGAGTTCACAGGTAAGACATATTTTTCATGTACTGGCAACTTTTTAAACAATTTTAATTCAAGCTGCGAAGCCATTATGGGAATACTGCATAATTGTCCTCATTGAAAAAGTAGGCTTTGTTTTTAAGAGTGCAGCCCTGTGGCAATCTAATCCCAGTAGCACAGCTAGGCAGGCCACTACAGTGGCCTTGTTCCCCCACCAAGTGGAAGTGTTATCACCACAAGAATTAACAGCCAGAAAGAAGGCTCATGATGAAGGCTGCTAATGTCTGTTAGTTCACTCAGACCACATTGCCTGAGGGATGCTTGCACTCTCAGCAGGATTGCCAGAGCCAAGGCAAGAAAATAAATGCACCAAAGAGGTGAAGAAACAAAATGAATCCTGACCTATCTGCTTTATACCACGAGTTTCTTCCCTTTCCCCAGAACTCTTTAATTCCAATGTCTGTTCTAACCATCCAGTATTTGATTATTTTCTGTTACTACTATAAGCATCTTAACTAAAGGTACCACATATGAAACTTCTCTTGTGTTCTCTCATAGTTCCAAATAATCCCCTTCAGAATAGCTTTTATGATAACTATTAAGTCTTTATTAGGTACAAAACACTATGGTAGCACTCTACATAAATTAACATAAAATTAAATCTTATAAAAATTCCAAGGTAGGTAGAATCCCCATTTCACAGATTTAGGAACTGAATCTTAAAGAGCTAGAGTCATTTGTCCAATGTTATACTGTAACTAGGTTGTGGAGCCCATTTTGAAGCCCAGATCTTTGTGACTGCAATGGTAATATGCTTATCCGCTGTGCATCACTGCCACCCAGCATTCAAATGCAGTTTCATGTGTGCATGATGTGGTCATTAAAGCCATGGGCTTGGATACAAACTCCCACATTGGCACCTTTAGTATAGTGATCTTAAGGAATGTTCTTAATCTCTGTGGGCCTCAGTTACCTCATTAGCAACATGCTTTCCACACAGAGTCCCAGAGAGATAAGGATGACTTTCTTAAAATAATATAATTAGAGAAGCGGTTACCAAACTGATTATCTACTAAAGTGGGGTGTAAGTGTAAAGGACAGCACTATATGTGGTGAAGGAGCCTGAGTGTGGTAGTGTCGGGCTGTTACCACTCCTAATGTAAAGGGAAAAGGGAGGGAACATGAGAGATCCTGAGAATAAAGCCATCTTGAGAAGACCTGTTACTTTCAGAGAAGGTCCCAACCTGACCCAGGCAATATCACAATGAAGAGGCCAGGAAATGATCAGCCCCTATTCCTCTCTCCTCTCTCCCTCTGACCTCCTGGCCTCCCAATAGCCAAACCCACACAAACCAGAGGGTAAGAAGCCCCACTGTGGTAGTTCACATGGGCCCACCTCCTGCAACAGAGAGAAGGAGAAGGGCTGAGATCAGAATTACAGGAGCAAAAGGAAGGTATTGGGTCACATACTGGAATAAAAATACCTCTTTACAGAGTTTTAATAATGATTAAACAAGCTAATGAATATAAAACACAAGAAATTGCATCTAGTACTCAATAAATATTAGTATTATTATTTTAATTAATTCATCTATTTAATAAAAGTTTATTGAGAACTTACTATGTTCTAGGCACTGTGGACATGAGCTCTGTCCAAAGGAAGCTTATAATACAGTCAGGTTCATATGAGTTAAACAAAGAGGAGAGATCTCAGAAGGAGACTTCATCATCTCTACAGCTGTTTTTAAGGCATGTCTGGAAATGTCAGGCAAACTAGTGTAATAAAAAGTTTAAAAAAAATTTAATCTGTATTTTTTGTAGAGGTGGGGTCTCGCTTTATTGCCCAGGCTGATCTCAAACTCCTGGCCTCAAGCAATCCTCTCGCCTCAGCCTCCCAAAGTGCTGGGATCACAGGCGTGAGCCCCTGCATCCGGCCAGAGAGGTTTTATTTTTTAAGTGGCCCTTAGTATCTTGTTGGACAATGACACATTCTAATGGGAAAAGTAGCAGGCCCACAAAGGTTTAATCAGTAACAAAACCGCAGCTGTCAGAAAAAGGTGTGGTGTGGAGTACAGCATGGTGTTTGCCAGGACAATTTATCTTCTGGCCCAGCCTTCAAGAACTTTGGACTGAGTCCTGCAGTGATGAAGATGGGAAAGCTTTAAGGAAACAAAAGCTGAAAGCCTCATAGGTGCTGGAGGCTTAAGACTAACTGAAAATAGAGAGAGACATTCATCCCCATTTTGCAGAGATAACCTACCATGTTTCAGCTGTGGCAAATATGGTGCTGGAAAGTCCACAATAGGAGCGTAGTGGAGGCACGAGCCACAGAGCCTTGTTCCTTCATCAAGTAGAAGGAGCAAAGGATGACAGTGAGGGACTCCATGGTACTCATCAATGTAGGACTGATAAAGAAACACACTGCCAAAGCTACATGGTGACAGACCAGATGTGTTTGTGAGTTCCTACTGATCTTCAGGGGAACTCCCAGAAATACGTAGGACATATAGGCTACTACAAGAGTCTGGGGATGGTCTGATGAGCATGCAAGAGAATTATACAGAGAGTTTAGAGAAGAGAGTAAACAATCCACTTTGATTGCCAGAGGTCTGAGAAAACCGGCCTTGGGAATGTGCTGTTTATGCCATAAGCAACTGAAAATTTTCAAGGGGGAAATGATGAAGGGGAGCAATGAGCTTGATGAATATGCAGTGCCAAAGTGAAGTAAGAAGGAACCAAAGCAAGGGAAATTACTCAGGGTTTACTTTAACAGCTTGCTAATAGAAAATAAATGCACATGATGTCAGTTTTAGGTGTCAAACACTGTTATGAATAACACAGCTATCATAGCTACCATTTATTTAGCACTAGGCTCATTGAGGCATATGCTGTATATATAGCTTTTTCAGCAGCTCTGTGGAATAGATATTTTAATTTCTATTTTACACATAAAGACACTACAGATCAAGAGAGATGTGGACCAAGCTCCATACATGTGGATGTTTTGAAGCTAAATCATGCTCTTAATCACTATAGGTCCAAAAATTCTGCTAAAAAATAATTGGGGACAAATAAAAAAAACTTTTAATGATGTCATTGCTTCAAAAGAGACCATGCAGTCTGAATAAAAACATTTTTTTCAATGTGACAGTAGTTATAAAATTCGCCCTTATAATTCTCTTCATCACTGGAGACCGTTAAGAACAACTCAGGAAAGAAAATGAAAACCCAAACACCATTCACATTAGCATGAAAAAGCAAATACACATATTTGAGAGAGACTGAGTTGAATTATAACCCCAAATTAGTAGGTTTCTGTGGACATGAGCATTGACAGGAGCATGCTGATGTCGCTATGAATGCTTAGGTGTGTTTCTCCTTCCCAGAGGAGAGAGAGTCTTCTCTAGGCCCAGAACACAGTAGGTGTGTGCAGTCAGTTTTCATAAGGGAATAAGTGAAGAAATTAATAAGTGAATGATCTTTCAAGTTTAGAAGTAAATCGTTGAAAGGAATGCTAGCAGCCTTTTTTCCAGAATAAACATTCAAAATCCTTATCGATAGCATGTCAGCAGGTGAGGAAAAAATGTGTGGTTAAGAAAAACAATCTGCCCAAAATCCAAGGACCCAGAGGTCAGTGTGATAGCACTGGGGGGACAGGGAAGGGGTGTGAGACGGTGTGGGGCACAGGAAGACCACAGACAAATATGTGTCCCAAATATGATTTAAATCATAGTGGGTCACAGGAAATAACACTGAGACACATATTTGTCTGTGGTCTTCCTGTGCCCCACACCATCTCACACCCCTTCCCTGTCCCCCCAGTGCTATCACACTGACCTCTGGGTCCTTGGATTTTGGGCAGATTGTTTTTCTTAACCACACATTTTTCCCTCACCTGCTGACATGCTCACTCAGTGCTGAACAACACAATCAGAACTATTTGATGCTGACTGTGTGCTCAGAAATAGTTCAAATCAAAGCTATGTTATCCACTAGGCACTGTAGTGCCACAGAGGCTATGAATTTTTCAAGAGCTAAATATGCATAAGAAAATGTGTTGGCTTTACCTGTTAAATTAATGTAATGTATAAATCTACAAATATAAAATGTAGCATTCTATCACATTATGTCAGTTTTACTTCTTATTAAATTTAGTGGTTTTATATTGTTCAACTTATGAACCTATTTTTAGATGTAAAAAGAAAAAGAGAGAAATAATACCAACTAATAAATGTAGAGGGAATGATAACAGAAGATCACCCTTTTGGATTCCCTAATGTAATAAACAATTCAGGCAAGGATCATCCATGAATGCTACAATCATTAGATAAAAGATTATTAGGATAACCTCAGTATATTTTTTCATATTTTTTCCAAAGTACTGACTCCTGCTACCCCCCACTGCCCATTACTTAATGATTGCAAAAGGAGAAAATGTACCTTTACAATGGAGAGAGATGGGGTTACCATGCTTGCAAGTAGTCAAGCCATTGGTCTGTGATACAACCTGCAATGAGCCTTGTCTACTGTGATACGATATGAAATTCACATCACTGTGATGTAGTATTCCAGAAATGTTGAAACTGAACTTAGTCAACGATCTAGACCTAACTACCAGTTGATAAGATATATAAAGGAGATGGAGGCCATCACCATGAAGAAACAAACAAACCCAGAATGGAAGCATCTTAAAAGATTGAGCAAGTCAATGTCATGAAGAGAAAAATGGTTTTATATTAAAAGATAAAAAGAGTCATGCCAAGTACAATCCTAAAATGTCATTAATCCTGGTTCAAGAAATCAGCTGCAAAAGACATCTGAAAATGGACCAGATATGAGAGATATTTGAAGAATTTTCATTAATTTTCTTAAGTGTAATAAAGGGACTATGATTACGTAGGAGATGCCTGCTGATGATTTAGGGATGATGCATTATGATACTTGCCAAGTTTCAAATATTTCAGCCAAAAAAGAAAAATATATTCACATTTGTTGGTATGTATAAATATACTACAAATATGGCAAAATATAAACAACTGGTAAATCCAGGTGGAGGACATAAAGATGTAAATTGAACTATTTTATCAGTATATTTGTCAAAAAAATTTCATAATAAAAATTGGAGAAAACTTCCTTTGCTTATACAAAGCCTCACCAAAACATTAATATTTATAAAAATGTTATTGCCTTGGAAAGAATGTATAAATTTGACTATTACTTCAAAAGGATTTCAATATAAGCCTAGTGATTTCTAAGATACCACAAGCAATGTAAGTTCAATAAGTTATTAATATTAATTTTAAAAGCACAGTCATAAAAATCTTCTCAATACTTTACAGCATAAAAGGTTATTTAATGTAGAACATGGGAGATTGAACCTATAAATAAAAAGTTTCCTATGTCCTATGATTTTCTTAAAATGCTTCTGGTTCAAGTTGGACTTGATTCTGCAGCACCACTTCCAACCAACTGAAGCCTGTCACACTCCTGTCCTTTGGATTTCCAAGATATTAATATCATATCTACTACTAGTACTTATAATGTCTATATGCTAGGCACTGTGAGAAGTTCTCTACAAGCGTCATCTCACCTAAACCTCATAAAACCTCTGTGAGTTCAATACAACTATTGTGCCATTTTACAGGGAAGAAAAACTGTGGCTTCAAGTGTAATCAAGTTGCCCAACATCACACAGATAGACCACAGTAGAGCTAGTATGAAGGTCTGCATCTATCTGACCCTAGGGCAACTATGCATTGCCACTGTAGGGCAGAGAGAGTCAAAGGGACCTGGTGTGTTCATAACATATGGAAACTACTAATAGTTGGAATTTTCAGGTAAGAAGGAGAGTCTGTGGTCAGGGAGAAAGATGGACATTTTGGAGCGGGGATCTTTTCATCATGCCACTTGATTTGTACCTTGGGATGCACTGACACTTCACATCAGAGAGCTGGCCCAAATCAAAAATAGCACAGAGGAAAACGCAATCTAAATTTAGAGCTCTTCAAAAGCATCCCATTTTGTGAGTGTTGAAGGAGGAGTTGTTCCCAAAAGAAATGACCAACATTCTATGAACATAGACGTATGGCACTAATCTTGTCATTTCCCTGTTCATGTTACTTAGTGAATTATTATAGCCTGTAGAAAAACAAAAATTTAAGTAGAATTGCCAGAAAGTTTGGAATCAATGGAGACAAGCTGTGGCCAAGAGCCTGCCAGAGTTTTTTCTGATGCCATCACTATTGGCACTGGCATTGGCATCCCCTGGACACTGGATGCTTGGCTACTGGGTTCCTCTATAGCTGGCCACTCAGCTATATGCCACTGGACTCTCAATTCTGCTGCAATCACTGTCTCTTGGGCCTTTGCCTTGGTTAATCAAGAATTCCAAGTCTCAGTGGGAACATTAAATCATGATCCCAATTTCTGTCTCCTAGGAAAGAGGGAGCAGGCTCATCTGTTTAAACGTGGTTTGTGGGTGTATTAGTCAGGGTTCTTTAAAGAAATAGAACCAATAGGAGATTGTGTGTGTGTGTGTGTGTGTGTGTGTGTATGTAGATTTATTACAAGGAATTGGCTCATGCCGTTATGAAAGGTGAGAAGTCCCAAGCTTGGCAGTCCCCAAGCTAGAGATCCAGGAGAGTCAGTGATACAGTTCTGTCTGAGTCTGAAGGCCTGGGAACCAGGAGAGCTAATGGTATAAGTTCCAGTTCCAGGGAAGAAGACTGATCTCTCAACTCAAGCAGTCAGTCAGGAAGAGTTCCCTCTTACTCAGTCCTTTTTGTTTTATTCAGGTCTACACTTGATTAGATCAAGCCCACCCACATTAAGGAGGGCAAATTGCTTCATTCATTCTGCTAATTCAAATGCTATTCTCAGCTAACAACATCCTCACAGACACACCCAGAATAATGTTTGACCAAATGTCTGGGCACTCCATGGTCCAATCAATTTGATGTAGCCCTCATAGTAGACCTAGAGTTATTTTTTATTACTTGTCAAAATTTTCTGTTCATCCACATAGGCTTTATGCATCCTTGCTTTTTTTTTTTTAATTTTGCCAGAAAAGTTGAGTTAATTGTGCACATTCAGGAGTGTGTGTGTGATTTTGTGTGTGATTCTTTTGTTTGCTAGATGGGGTAAGGCGTGGAAGTGTCAGTTCCAGCTTCTCCACACAACAAACGTCCCAATCTGGCTACTAGATCTCCAACCTTTATGGCTATAACTGGGACGAGCATCTGAATGGAACTCTAGGACTTCCCACCTGCTCACCACTCTGCCTTTGATTTCTCTGTTTTTACTGGGATCTAAGTAGTTCTCTGTATTTTGAGTTCAGATAGGTCTGTGTTGAAACTTTAACAACTGTTACCTTTTATCTAGCATATTCTTTGTATTAGAACTTAGGTACCTCATAATTGGATTTTGTTGCTAGAAATCTTCACCTTATATTTTAAAAACTTTTTGTATATTTAAGGCAAATATTAGTGATACTTAATTTATATAAAGAAACATATTTACTTTTAAAATAAACTTATTTTTAAAAACGGAAACTAATCATCAAAACAGGTGTTACTTGGACATGACAAATACAGAAGACTAACAGATAAGGGGGAAACACCTATCTAATACACTGGCTGAAACACAGCAAGCCCACAGTAGTATTTGATGAATGAGAAAAGAAGAAAAAATACTACTCGCTTATCAAAAGATTTCCTTTCTTCATCAATTGTATATGCCTTAACACCAGTGCTATCTAACAGAAGAATTTTCTGTAATGTTACAAAAGTTCTTCTGTGCTGTCCAAGATGGTAACTACCAACCTAGCCATATGTGAGAGTTGAGCATTGGAAGTGTACCTACCGTTACTAAGAAACTAAATTCGTAATACTATTTAATTAGCTTAAATTTAGATGTATATAGCCACACGTTACTAGCGGCTACCATACTGGACAGCGTAGTTCTAGAAGATCACATTTCCACCTACACATTAAATCACCTAAAGAGCTTTAAAATATGTCAAAGCCCAGACCCCATTCTAGATCTATTAAATCAGGACTTCAAGCTGCTGTAGCCCAGGCATTGGGCTTTTTCGTTGTTGTTGCTTTTGTTTACCTTTTAATTATGGGAAGTTTACTTTAATTTGCCTTTTTTATTTAAAAAATAAATAAGAAAAATATTGTCTACTAGGTGTAGAATCCAGTCTTACCTCCTTGGTAAAATCCATGGAAAACCGGATTTCTTACTCAAGATCTATGCCCTTGTGGTAAATCAATTGGCTAGATTAAACATATTTCCAAATGAACTTCTTATGATTTGTTTTTTCACTTGACCAATTTGAATACCGATGATTTTGCTTCATCTAGGTCATTTAACTCTCACACATCCTCCGTGAGATAAGCAGAGCAGAACAAAATCATTCTATGGAGGCAGATTCAAGTGGCGGGTAAGGGGTAAGATTAAAAGCCAGGCCTGGCCGGGCGCGGTGGCTCGCGCCTGTAATCCCAGCACTTTGGGAGGCCGAGGCGGGCGGATCACGAGGTCAGGAGATCGAGACCATCCTGGCTAACACGGTGAAACCCCGTCTCTACTAAAAATGCAAAAAATTAGCCGGGCGTGGTGGCGGGCGCCTGTAGTCCCAGCTGCTCGGGAGGCTGAGGCAGGAGAATGGCGTGAACCCGGGAGGCGGAGCTTGCAGTGAGCCGAGATCGTGCCACTGCACTCCAGCCTGGGCGACAGAGCGAGACTCCATCTCAAAAAAAAACAAAAAAAAAAAAACAAAAAACAAATAAAAGCCAGGCCTTCTGGTGCCTAGTACAGTGTTATTTTTATTCCACAGTGAGGCAAACAGCTATTAAAGCAAAATAAATTAATACAGTGTTAAGGCTGGAAATTCCTTCCTTTCTTCTGTTTACATTTACCATTCTAAATATGGAGACTGGAAAACACATTTCCAAATCTATTTAAGGGTAATGTTTTATAAATAGAACACTGTTGTCTAATGTTACATGTTTAGTTAAACTTGATTTTACTCAGTCAAAAGTAGGAAAACCTGGATCTATCAAAAAGTAAACAGGTATACATTTTCTGGAACGCAATTTGAAAATGTATATCAAAAGCTATAAACATGGTCATTCCCTTTGACCCAGTAATACTGGGTCTTGAAATCTGTCATAAGATGCAACCAGAGATCAATTAGTAAAATAGTATATAAAATTAATGATTTCATTATAGAGTTGTCCAAAGTCTTAGAAGCATAGTTATGTACAACAATAGGGGAAGAATCAAATACATGATCATGTATCCTCACAATAAAATATTATTCTTTAATTCAAAAAACCTCATGTTTTAATACCAACTAATGACACCAGAAATTGTTCATATTGTTAAATGTTAAAAAGATATAAAATTTTATATACTACAACAGCACACATGCGTGTAGAACTTAAAAAGACCAAAAGTAAAGTTTTAGAGCAACAGAATTTCTTCACCCATTCTTAGTAGGTATAAGTTAAAATAACAACTTTAAAAATAGTTTGATATTTTGAGAAAAACATAAGCATACTCTTTGATGCAATAATTCCACCACTAGGTCTGCCCTGTAGAGTTTTGCTTTTTAAACTGAGTTTTGGTGAATGAATAGATTTTGAAAATCAATTTAGTATTATAGCAAGCAGCATTATTTTTTAATAAATTGGTGTGCATAAAAACATACTAAGGGATATATTCTCGTGAATTATTTGTTTCAGTTATCCACACACATATGTGTTTCAGCGTTGTGACACAAAATGTATTACTTTTGGCCACGATTAAGAGTTTTTAAGCCATTGAAACTCTTGTATATATGCCCTAAGAAAGGAATCTTACCAGCAGACAAGTATGGAATGTTCATAATGACTCGAAACAAACTTCAAATTCCACTAATAGTGGAAGAGTTTATAGAATATTTAGTATGTTTGTCCCCCAACTCGCTAAATTCCAACAAAGACAGTAATTGTAACAATAACAATGACAAATGTCCCCATACATTTTCAAACACTCCTCTGGGGAAAGGGGATGTTATCATCCTCTTTTGACAATTCCAGGCTAATACTTTGTAAGCATTCAGTTATTATTTGTTGAATAAATGATTAATACAAAGATAAATAAAATAGCTTGTGCCTGTGCTGATAAGAATTACTGGTTTTATGTCCAAGAATTGGTGGGTTCTTAGTCTCACTGACTTTAAGAATGAAGCCGCGGACCCTCGTGGTGAGTGTTGCAGTTCTTAAAGATGGTGTGTCCAGAGTTTGTTCCTTTTGATGTTCGGACGTGTGCAGAGTTTCTTCCTTCTGGTGGGTTCCTGGTCTCGCTGACTTCAAGAGTGAAGCTGCAAACCTTCGCGGTGAGTGTTACAGCTCATAAAGGCGGCCCGTCCAGAGTTGTTCGTTCCTCCCGGTGGGTTAGTGGTCTCCTTGGCTTCAGGAGTGAAGCTGCAGACCTTAGTGGTGAGTCTCACAGCTCATAAAGGCGGGTGCAGACCCATACAGTAAGCAGCAGTAAGATTCATCGCAGAGAGCAAAAGAAAAAACCTCTCACAGTGGGGAAGTGGACCCCAGCCAATTGCCACTGAGGCTGGGTGGCCTGCTTTTATTTTCTTATTTGGCCCTACCCACATCCTGCTGATTGGTCCACTTTACAGTGAGCTGATTGGTCCATTTTACAGAGTGCTGATTGGTCCGTTTTACAGAGTGCTGATTGGTCCGTTTTGACAGAGTGCTGATTGGTGTGTTTACAAACCTTTAACTAGACATAGAGCGCTGACTGGTGCATTTACAATCCTTTAGCTAGACTTTCTGTCTAGCTCTCCAAGTCCCCTACCCGATTAGCTAGGCACAGAGCCCTGATTGGTGTGTTTACAAACCTTTAGCTAGACACAGAGTGCTGATTGGTGCGTTTACAATCCTTTAGCTAGACAGAAAAGTTCTCCCAGTCCCCACCTGACCCAGAAGCCCAGCCAGCTTCACCTCTCAGTTTCAGGTTAATAGGATTGAATTAGGCTAAAAGCGTAATTGGACCCTGAGTTTTACAATGAAAGTTATGGCATTATTTGTTTAATTTCTGAAGATTTCTTTATTCAACCATCTTTTCAGTTGTTTTTCAGAAAATATTTATTAAGCATTCACCATGGATTAGCTCTTCCAAGGGACAGTCAAGGTTCTTGGCCTCAAGAAGTTTACATTCTACAGAAAACCTATTAACTGAGGAGCATATGTACGGTAGGATTTTCCTCTTCTGCATATAGTAAATAGTGCTCTTCACATACTATTCTATCCCCAGCCTCATTTCATCCTTTCCAGTGGCTCATGTAGAAGAAGAAATCAGAGGACCTGACTTTTCCAAGGTGTACAGGTAGGAAATCAATGCAAGCCAAGTGGTTTAAAACATCTCATTTTTCTGATCCAATATGGTGGCGCCCAGTGGTGATGTGAATTGTGAGGAGTTTCCTAAGTTACAGGAATTATTACTCAAGGTGATGAGGAAAATTGATGACAGAATAGTACATGAGTTAAACACTATGGTTCCCACAGCTTCCTTTGCAGGGAAAAATTGATGCCAGCCAAAACTATAAACAATTTTATGAGTCTTTGATGGCAGCTCATGCCAGTAAGGAAAGAGCCATAAAAAAATTGTATAGTCCAGACCACAGCAGTAGTAAAAAACTTCCAAGAAGAGAAAGATAAAAATTTGGATGATTTAACATTATTAAAGCAACTTAGAAAAGAGCAGAAAAAGTTGAAATGGATGCAGTCAGAACTGAATGTTGAAGAGTGGTAAATGAAAGGAGCTGGAAGGTGTTTAACGAATACTGCCAAATTCACTTCAAGCCTCCAAAGAATGAAGAAAGAGATACTTTTTTTAAAAAGGACCAGATCATCTCATAGGAGCTAAGCATGATACATATCAATAAGACAAGCTTCCTGGGATGATTTCTGAGCCAACAGCCTAAGACCTTATGTTGATTTCAGCCCCACTTAGTCAAGACCTCAAGTATAAATAATTCTGATAATTATGGAGAAATCAACTGCTATCTTATACTGATTCTTTAAAAAATTGTAACTATTAAAATAATTTTCTGACTCAGTGAACATTTTTTTAAAAATCTCATCTTTCTCAAATAATCAGAAAATTATATTTCCCAAATTCCTTTCATACCTATAAACACTAAAGCAGCATAGATTCAGAAACAGCACAACTGTAATTTTGGATGGGCAAATTGCTGGGTATGTACTAAAGAAATGAAATAACAAAATCAATGAAGGTCATTCATAGCTCTTGACTGTGATGTGGTGATCATCCAAATAGCCTGACTCTAGGTTATATTGAAGGATAAATGTCAATAAGGCAAATACAACACATGAACTGCATTTTAAAATTCCACCCCTTGGCAAAGGAATCTCTTTACCTTCCCTCCCATACCCTCTCCCATATGTATAAGAACACAGTCACACAATTAAATTTTGGGTGTTATTCTCCATAAAGTGTACTTCAAGTAATTACAAAGCAACAGAAAAAAAAAAGTTTATCCTACTGAACATTAAGCCACAAGCTGTTGCAGAATTGTGAACAATTTAGTTCAATAGTAAAGCATGAATACATACTTGGAACTTCATGGAAGTCCATACTACCCCAGATTCACTCAACGTTCAACAAATTTTCTTTTTACTGAGCTTCTCCCTGTTTGGGGCTCCTAATACTCAGACCTCATGAGTAAGGATGCAGAATCCTGAGCAGGAAACTTTCAAATCTTGTACCTGGGGCTACACTAGCTCAGTGTCCCTGGCTCAAAGTTCTGAAACTAGAAGTGATTAAGCATGAAGTAGCTCTGTACTGGATACTGGATACTGGAGTATCTTACTTTTCTTTTTTTAAATGACTGTTTATCCACATGAGGTAAAAGTCACTATTTTATAAACAGTTGATAAAGAAAATCTAACTTGAACTGGTTTAAGCAGAAGAGGGAATCTTCTGAAAAGTCAACAAACAAATAAATTTGACTTCTGACTTGACAGGGTTCAGGGACTCAAAAGACGTCTCCGGCTCCCTGTGTCTGATATGTCAACTCTGTTGGCTTCTTAGCTGCTACACGGTGAGCAAGATGTCTGCCGACAGTGCACTTCTTACATTTTCCTCTACACAATGAAAGTTCTGGACCTGACTCTCACTGGCCTATATTGGGCCACAGGCCAGAGGAATGCCATTTCTGATTGGCCAGTCTGAATCACATGTTCATCCCTGGATTCAGGGATAGAGTCAACTCTAGTTAGGCTGAGAGTAGCAGAAAGGGTGGTTCTCCCAGAAGTTCAGATAAGCATTAATTAAAGAAAGGAAAATACATACTAGGTAGCAAAAAAGAGCACATGTTCACTACAGATGACAAGCTTAGGTCTCCCAGGCAATAAGAATTTCCATTTGTAAATGAAGTACTGCAGAGAAAGAGGTGTGGATTTGAAGTCAAAATTTCTTAATTCTAATGTTAGTTAGTTCAACTGGTTTTAGCTACATGACAGGGGTCTTTAAGAATTAAATGAGTATTTAGTGAAAGTGTTTCATTAGCATTTGAATATTAATTTACAGTTAAATACTATCATTATTACCAAGAAGCTAAGAATGTGTCCTTTGGAAAGGTATTTTTCAAATATCTGAATTCCATCAAAGCAACTCTATCAAAGCAAAGTAACAAGCATATGAACATAATAAAGTAGTTGTAGTAGATATTGTGTGTTGCCCACCTCCGTTTCGCCTGACTGACAGAACCCCACTTTAATTAAAAAAACCCACTCCCCTCCATAGTGTCATGTGCTTCATTAAGCTACAATGACAATGCCATCTTGTGGTGTTGCCATCCGCTAGATCCTTGGAGTCTTCTGATCCAGCCAATAGACATGATTCAAGAAAGTAGGAAAAAAACACACTCTTAAGTGCCTTCCCTCAGAAGTAACATACATCAATTTTGCTCATATTTCATTGGCCAGAACTGCACATACACTTGATCAAGATGAAAGAAGTGATGGAAAATGTAGCCCCTGTCTGGACAACTACTTCAAAAAGAAAAATCTATTCCATGGAAGGTGGAACACACAGCCAGCCATGTCTACTGCTACAGGCATGTTAAATGAAATGGCCATCAATACTGACACAAACTCTTGTCAAGGGAAAGGAAAGAAGGTGGAAATTCTTTAAGTCAAGACCATCAATTTTCTAGAGCTTCTATATAGCAAATTATCACAAACTTAGTGGCTTAAAAACAACAGAAATTAATACCCTCTCAGTTTTGGAGGCCAGAAGTCTAAAATCAATGTGTTCGTAGGGCTATTCTCTTTCTGAAGGCTCCAGAGGAGACTCCTACCTTGCCTCTTCCAGGTTTTGATGGTTTCGAGTACTTGTTTGGCTTGTAACTATACAACCCCGGTCTCTGCCTCCAGATTCAGATGGTCTTCTCTTTGTGTCTTCTTTCCTTCTTCTCTGTGTCTGTGTCTTCTAAAGACACTTTTCATTGGACACTTTGCATTTCATATTCATTAAGGCCTACCCTAGTCTAGGATGATCTAATTTGAAGATCCTTACCTTAATTACATCCTCAAATATGGTTTTTCTAAGTAAAGTTAGATTCATAAATTCTGAGTGAACACACTTTTTTCCAGCCAGGAGAAAAAAATGGGAGGGGAAAGGGGGGCACCATTCAAGCCACTACATGTTTTTTGAGAGCCCTAGAATAGGTTAGGTTTAGTGGGAGAGGTTGAACATATGTGGAAATGGGGGTATTTGGAAACTCTTCATACTTTCTGATGAACTTTGCATAAACTTAAAAGTGCTCTAAAAGCCAAAGTTTGTGAATTTTAAAAAATCACAGTGAATTGCAGTGCATGATATACACAAAGTTTATACACACAAAATATGCAATATTTAATCAGACCCTGCTCACTGCCTATATAAATCATATCTTTCCTTTAAGTTCCATCTCAACACTTACCCTCTAGAAACCCCTTTTGATTCTCCCTTCCTATGTAGATCTTTCCTGTACCTGAAATCCCATATGTGTAACCCATAGGAAAAACAAATAATGTGTCCTCCAAAGATCTATTATTATTTCAGGTTTTCACATAAAATGTCTTCAGAACTAAAAGCTTTTCTGTGAAGAATGGGACCATATTTTTCAGATGTTCTTGGTCTTTTTTTAGCAGCTCGATGTTTGCTTAATAAATGAGGAATAACTAACCCCTAAAGTAAAAAAAAAAAAAATTTAATACAGTGTATCCAAACTATTTAAACTCATGTGAAAAGAATCTTCCCCTTGAAAATAATGTCAGAATTAATCTTTAGATTTCTCACCATGCAAAGTGTATATACTGCAGCATCTGCGTGTTTGTTGATAGTGTTTTATGCTTACATAAATATTTGTATACACAATTTAAATCTAAGGTTCCCCTTCCCACCCCACATCTTATTTTCTGTGCCAAATGATCAGTGTGTGGGATTAAATTTTCTAGGAGTAGCACACAGCTGTTAGGTGCCACAAATATATTAAGCTACAAAAGTTTATTTGAAGGCATTTCTGTAAAAGGCTCACCACCTCATCTGTGATAAGTCTCAGAGCCTTTCATTCATTATAATTAGGTTCAACAGCCAAATAAAACTACTACATTTAAGCCTGACAATTGAAGGTCATGTTCAAAGTTGGAGAGAGGACACAGTGGAACATATGAGAAGAAGTTTCTATAAAAACTTTCCCTGACTCTGTGGTGTTTTAACACATGTAGTCCACGGTTTGTGATGGTTATTTGTTTTAGCCCTACAGATGAAGAAAATAAAAATCCATTCCAGGTTGGGAGAATCTCACATTAGGAAAAACAATGAGCATTTTAAAATTAAAAATAATTATAACCATTAGACTTTATTGAATACCCACAAGTAGAGTAGTTTTAAAATATTAGTAGGCAGTAGGCAGGCTTCTCTTTGAGAGTTCAAATCTTCATTACATTAAAGATATTAGCCAGGCACAATGGCTCATGCCTGTAATCCCAACACTTTGGGAGGCTAAGGTGGGAGGATTGCTTGAGGGCAGGAGTTCAAGACCAGCCTGCTCAACATAGTGAGACCTCATCTCTATTAAACAAACAAAATGACAGTAAAACATACAACTCTGGCCAGGCGCAGTGGCTCACACCTGTAATCCCAGCATTTTGGGAGGCCGAGGTGGGTGGATCATGAGTTCAGGAGATCGAGACCATCCTGGCTAACATGGTGAAACCCCGTCTCTACTAAAAATACAAAAAATTAGCCAGGCGTGGTGGCGGGCACCTGTGGTCCTAGCTACTTGGGAGGCTGAGGCAGGAGAATGGCATGAGCCCGGGAGGCAAAGCTTGCAGTGAGCTGAGGTCGCGCCACTGCACTCCGGCCTGGGAGACAGAGCGAGACTCTGTCCCCACCCCCCGCTCCCCCCCCCCAACAAAATACAACTCTCAATAAATCCAAATTTTGAATTTCAAAAAGGATTTTATAATTTTTATTAACACACTTATTTATTCTAGGTAGGCCCATGGAAATCTTGTAGGCTGTGAGCACTCAGCTTATATCACTAAATGAATAAATGCCTTGTTTACATCAGGTGATTTGCCAGCATTGTCTCTTTTCAACACCCTTTAAGGTAGAAATTATTTTTCCCTTTTACAAATGAGGAAACTGAGCTGGAAGAGCCTAAGGAGCATTCCTAGGATCATGAGAGCAGTAAAGAGCGGAGTCAAGGTTCAAATGCAACTTAGTCTGGCCTATGTGCCCAGACTCTTTCCCGCCATCCTCTGCCCATCCAAATAATTTGGGTCTTGACATACCTCCTTAACTTGTATTGGATGCAAAACAATTTAATCAATATTTATTGTCTATAACTCAACAGTAAATTAATTATCTGCCTTGGGACCACCCTGATTCATACATAGGTATATAACTTCTGACACAGGTGTCACATTTTTTCCTAACTGCAACTGCAAACAACATAAGGGCACCTCCACCCTTACTCTCCCCTCCCCAGCATCTGGCCTGTATGCCATGTATACGGGAGGCATAATAATATTGTCAAGGAACACACAATTTTCACTAACAATCAATGTCAAGTCCCTATGTGAAAATCAAATGGAGTCCAGGTTTTCTGTAAATATAAAAACCAAAATTGTTATATGACAAATTATTGTATGTATCATATTAGACTGTATAAATATAAATCTGGTTCTGTAGAAGTTATCAAAACAGACTACTCTTTCTTCCCTTGAAGATTGGGTAGAAGGGACCAACCTCATTAGCAACTAAAGAAAAATCGAATTTGAACATAGACGGATAGGAGAAAGAAGAATGTTTTTCTGAGGAAGAGGATAATCATCTGGCAGGTGGGAAAATATTAATTTAAAGAGGCTATGTCCCTAAAATATTCTTATATAGGGACAAATGTAGAGTCTATTTCTCCTTTAATTTTTTTATTTTGAAATAACTTCAGATTTAACGTGAAATTGCAGGAATAGTACAAAAAATTCCTAAATCCTTTACCCGGATTAGCCAAGTGTTAACATTTTACCATATTTGCTTTTACTTTCTCTCTCTCTCTCTCTGTGTGTGTGTGTATGTATACACACATGTATGTGTGTGTGTATATATATATACACACATGTATGTGTGTGTGTATATATATATACACACATGTATGTGTGTGTGTATATATGTATACACACATGTATGTGTGTGTATATATATACACACATGTATGTGTGTGTGTATATATATACACACACATGTATGTGTGTGTGTATATATATACACACACATGCACTTTTCCCCGAGTCTGAGGTTAAGTGTGAACATGATATTCCTTCATGCCTAAATACATCAGTGCATTTCCTAAAACGGTGAGCATTCTTAGATAACCACAATACAATTTTCACAGCTAGAAAATTAATATTGAAGCAATACCATTATCTAAACAAAAAACTTTACTCAGACTTTGCCAATTGTCCCAGTTAAATCCTTATAGGAAAAAAAAGTCCCACATCAATTATTGTATTTGCTTATATTTTCTTAACCTGGAACTGTTTCTTGGTCTTTTTTTGTGTGTTTTATGACATTGACATTTTTGAGAGTACAAGTGGACAATCTGGCCTTGTCTGATATTTCTTCATGATTTGATTCAGTTTTGCACTATGGGCAAGACTCAAGGATGTCATGTTTTTCTCAATGCATCATATTAGAAGGCATTTGATGCAATTTTCCCCATTAATGGTGATGTTTACTCTGATAGGTATTAAGGTGATGATTGTGAGGTGTCTCTAGTAAAAAGTTACTATTTTTGCTTTGTAATTAATTGGGGTCTTGTGGGGAAATATAATGTCATTTTTTAAATATTATTTTAATTCTAGTATTATAAAGCAAGTGTTTTTGTCCCTATTTGATCTTATTAGGATCGTATAAGCTATCCATAATCCTGAATTTTCAAGAGACTAAAAAGTTGTATCTGGAACACTCATGTGTTTTGAATGAGATGAATTACAGTGTATATATTCTATCCAAAACACGGACTTTTCTACATATCTTGAGGGCAAAAAATGGTCTCATGGTTATAGGTTAATAGTTGTTTGATAAAACATAAAACATTGCCACTTTTATAATCATTCTTATTGTTCTTGAAACTAGGACCTTATTCACCCAAAACAATTTAGTTGACAACTAATTTTAATTTAATGTAAGGCAAGATTAGTTAATATTTTATAAGAAATGTTTATTTTGAAAAGGTGTCCATTGGCACATCTTCTCCTAAAGGCTTAAATATAATCTAATTGTTGGGAGATAAATTCAGGATTGAGGATAGTTCACAATTATTGTGACCTTCAGTTGGATGAAGTAGCAAAATATTTGCCTTCAGATAGACCTTTCAGGAATCTTGTTACCTAATAAATAAATGTATGAGATCACCCTGGCTACTCTATGGAAAATGGGTTAGAGAGGGAAAAGTGGTGGAAACAAGGAGACCACACAGGAGACTGTTCAATAATCCAATGAAGAGATTAAAATTACACCAACTCAAGATATAAATCAGAGGCTGGATCAATAGGAATTCATGATCATGTGGATACAGGGATTAAGATACTCAGAGATATCAGGACAACTGTCTGGATTAAATTTGAACAACAGTGCGAGTGTGGAAAAGTTGACAGTTACTAAGAAGGGAAGATTAGGGAGGTAAGAGGAGTTTTGCACATGTCGCTTTTGAGATGTCATTGAGGTATCCCAGTGGACATAACCAGGAGGTCTTTGGAGGTACAAGGCTGGAGCACAGAAGAGACATTAAGGTGGAACTACTGTGCTTAGTGCCTTCATTTATTAAGATTAATCTAGTACCATTTTTCGATTAGCTTCCATCAAATGTGATTTTGTTTAAAACTCAAAACCACCATCTGAAACAGATGAAGTGAGCATTAACCAGTTTTATAGTGAGTTAGTACTCTTGTGATGGCAGAGCCAAATCAAGCAATAATAATACGTTTAGTTAGGCACTGTGCAAACACTTTAAGTCCACTCTCTCATTTAAATCAAATTTTTAAAGTAAGAAAAGGGGTCCTGTACTCACCATAGTAAAATACCACATGACTTTTCCATCATGAAAAATCTATTGACCTTTTTGTCCATGCACCAGCTTCTTTCTCTGAAAATGATCTATGTCCACACCCCATGCTCTCCTCCTCACCACTTCAAGCTTCCTTTTCCTGCCCTCTATCCATATTGGTAAACATGGCCCAGTTTGCTGTCCAGAATTGATTGTTCAGGGAAAGGGAGGGTGGAACCAAGCCAAAGTGAGACCAAAGTTTTTCTCCAGAGATTTATGATCAGAGTCAAAGATTCCAACTCAGTCTAGGTGGTTTCTGAAACCGAGGAACATAAACCTAGGAAAGGGTTGCATGTCTTTGTTCTACACTGTGGGCAAAGAACTTCATAAAGAACTGCTCAGCAAGAGAGGCCACATGAAGCTGATCCAAAGGGATCAGTGAGGGTGAGATTCCGGGGGTTCTGACTCCTGAGGGACAGTCATATTTCCATCCTCTGACCCACACAGTAGCCCAGTATCCTTACCTTGCTCAATTGGAGCCGAGTTTCCGTTACTTGCACTTGCCAAGGCCGATCTGGCTACTCTAGTGCTGAGTGCCCGATCTGCCAGTGGCAGAAATCCACACTGAGTCCTCAATGTGGTACCATTCCCTAGGTTGATCAGCCAGCTTCCTGATGGCAAGTGGATTATACTGGAGCATTTATTTTATGGAAAGGGCAGTGTTTTGTTCTCACTGGAATAAACATTTTATCTGGAGTTGTATTTGCCTTCTCTGCTTCTTCCAAAACTACCATCCATAACTTTATCCATTATCATAGTATTTCACATAGCATTGCTTCTGATCAAGGAAATCACTTCACAGCTAATGAAGTGCAGCAATGGGCCCAGGCCTATAGGATTCACTGGTTTCACCAGGTTCTCCACCATCCTGAAGCAGCTAGCCTGATAGAATAGTGGAATACTTAGGCCACACGCGGTGGCTCACACCTGTAATCCCAGCACTTTGGAAGGCCAAGGCGGGCAGATCACAAGGTCAGGAGATCGAGACCATCCTGGCTAACACGGTGAAACCCCGTCTCTACTAAAAATACAAAAAAAAAATTAGCCAGGCATGGTAGCGGGCGCCTGTAGTCCCAGCTACTCAGGAGGCTGAGGCAGGAGAATGGTGTGAACCTGGGAGGCCGAGCTTGCAGTGAGCCGAGATCATGCCACTGTACTCTAGCCTGGGCAACAGAGCAAGATTCCGTCTCAAAAAAAAAAAAAATAGTGGAATACTTTTTGAAGCCTCAATTTCAGTGCCAATTATGTGACAATACCTCCAAGAGGCTATCTATGCTCTGAATCAGCATCCAATATATGATACGGTTTCTCCCATGGCCAGGATTCTTGGGTCCCAAGAATCAATGGGTAGAAATGGCACAACTCATATTATCCCTGGTGATATACTAGCACAATGGTTGCTTCCTGTCCCTGCAACCTTATGTTCTGCTGGTATAGATGTATTAGCTCCAATGGGAGAAATATTTTTACTAGGAAACACAACAATAATTTCACTGAAACAGAAGTTAAGATGATCATCTTAACTAGTCACCTTGGGCTCCTCCTGCCTCTTAATTAACAGGCAAGGAAGGGAGCTACTGTGTAGGATGGGGTAATCAGTCCTGGTTACCAAGGGGAAATTGGACTGCTGCTACACAAGGGAGGCAAGGAAGAGTATGTCTTAAACATAGGAGATCTTTTAGGGTGTCTCTTAGTACTACCCTGTTCTTTGATTAAAGCCAATGCAAAACCACAACATCACAATTCAGTTAGTACTGCTAATGGCCCAGACTCTTCAAAAATAATGGGATTTTACTTGGTTGTGTTTTCTGCCTACCAGGCAAAGAACCATGACCAGTTGAACTGATTACTGAGAACAAAGGAAATATGGCATGTATACTAGCAGAAGATAGTTACAAATGACAGCTATAACCATGTGTCTACTTACAGAGATGAGGACTGTAATTGTTGTATTTCTTCCTTATTTTCTTATAAATATGTTTGTATGTATATTACATATATATGTATTCATGTATGTATCTGTATATATATGAAGCAAATATTTTGTTTTCTTCCTCTCTTATTCCCTTATCATCTAACATAAGATGTATTAATAATAGTTGAGTTTATATCACCATATTTAAGTTTTATTTTGAAGAGTGAACACCATCAATTTAAAAAAACCTGTCAGGCTGGGTGCAGAGCCTCACACCTATAATCCCAGCACTTTGGGAGGCCAAGGCAGGTGGATCACCTGTGGTCGAGAGTTCAGACCAGCCTGACCAACATGGAGAAACCCGTCTCTACAAAAACACAAAATTATCTGGGCATAGTGGTGCATGCCTATAATCCCAGATACTAAGGAGGCTGAGGCAGAATCACTTGAACTCAGGAGGTGGAGGTTGTGGTGAGCCGAGATCACGCCATTGCATCCAAGCCTTGGGAACAAGAGTGAAAGTCCATCTCAAACAAGCAAAAACAAAAACAAAAAACCTGGCAATATCAAGTATTGGTTAAGATGTGGATCAGTTTGAGCTCTTATACATTACGGTGGGAGGCAAAAATGGTACAGCCACTTGGAGAAGAGTTTGGCATTTATCTATACTTGCCACATGGCCCAATAATCCCACTCCTAGATATTTATCCTAGAGAAATAAAAGCTTATATTAAACATAAAAACTCTTATGCAAATACTTATAATAATAGTATTCATAACTACTCCCACTAGGAAATAACCCAAATGTCCTTCAGTACATGAATGTATAAACCATAGGAACATGCATGCAATGGAATACTACTCAGTAATAAAAAGGAATGAACTATCAATACGTTCAGCAATATGAATGAATCTCACATACACTGTGATTAGTGAAAGCCAGAGCAAAATGTTATATATTATATCATTCCATTTATATGGCCTTCTAGAAAAGCAAAACTATAAAGATGGAGAACAGATTAGTGGTTATCTAGGGTTAGGGTTGGGGAAAGGTTCTGACTACAAAGCAGCAGCATGAGGGAATTTTTTGAAGGTGAAGCTAACTGTTCTATATCCTGATTGCGGCGGTAGTAGTTACAAAACTCTATGGATTTGCTAAAACTCACAGAACTGTACAATAAGTAAAAAGTGAATTTTAATGACATATTTTAAAAGTGTCATTAAAAGGATTTTAAGCAAGTTAATATGTTTTAGAATGATTCAGTGTGAAGAATGGATTGGATCAGATGTATCAAACACCAGAGACATGAAATTTGCCTGGGGCTGTTGCATTAATCCAGTAGCGATTAAGGTTAACTAGGGTAGTGACAGTGAGGATGGAGAGAAGTGGATGGGTTTGAGAGACACTACATAGCAAAACTGTCAGACTATGAGGAATAAGAGATAATATTCACGTTTTTGACTTAAGCAAGTGTCATTCACCAGGACAAAACTGGATATAGAAAGATTTTAGAGAGAGAACAGTTGCTCAGTTTGGAATACATTAAGGTTTGTGATATAATTGTGTGTTTCTAGGCAGATAGTTACACAGTACGATGGCTGAACTAAAATACTTCTGTTCTATCCAAGTAATGGTGCTGAGGAGTGACATAATATACTATAATTATATAACTGACATTTCCAGGAACCGAGAGCAGTTCATGAAAAATGCAACGTGTATCTTCTCAGTTCATTGAATTATTCCTCCTGGAAACATTTCCAGCTTGGGACCTGGAGCCTGTTCACATCAATTTGTTGTCCACACAGAGGTGCAAAAACTGATGAGTAGCGTTTGAATAACAAGGGCAATTACTTAGCCCCCTACAGTAGCTTGAATCTCTCTCTAGCTCATGCCAGTTTTCAGCTCTACTGAGAGCATGCTCTTCTGCCTAAAGAAACAAAAAATGCTGAGAGGAGGACAGATGTTTTCAGAAGTCCTTGAAAGCCTTTCTCCAATAATGCAGCTAAGGTAGCCTTCAATTTTATAGCTCAAGGACAATGAGAAAAAACATATTTGCCTCTTGTCACATAATATTTCTCAGTAGGATTAATTATGGTTGTGTACTTAATACTTAAAATCAGTAGTATTGGTTGGGTTTTTGTTCTCCTTAGTGCTGGAAGAGTTGATATGATGCCTGCCCTGCAGATCTAGATATTGTCATCTTCTCACCACCCCTCCCAACAAAGCAAAAAATGAGCCAATAAAGTATAGGGGTTCTCAAAGCCACAGACGACAATACTTGTTCCTATGTTGTTTTGAGTTCTTTTAATTGTTTCATTTGTATAGATCTGGTCTTCAAGAATATCACGTCCTTTAAGAAGGATATGTTTGCTCTTTCTGTTGACTCCTTTCCCTGTTGTTTGTGCAGTCTTGGATACACATTCTGAATTCAAAAAGTACCAAAAAAGCACTGTGATAAACAGTAATGAACCTTTAAAGGTTCTTGGTTGAGCTTCACTTTGAGTTAATGTTTAAGTCTCCTTCTTTCCCCATCTTATCATCTGTTCCTATCATGCTCTACCCCTGACCCCAACTCACATACAAAACATTTTTTTTTTACTTTTGCATCTCTTTCACTCCTTCCCAGGTTCCTAAAGGCAAGGAGGAGCCTGTTATAAATCTTAGAGAATGAGTTAATTTCCTTATGACAGATGTTTTCAATAGTCTCAGAGCTCCAGCTGGGCCTAATTGGGATTTAGAGTTTGCCTGTTTGTGAGGAACTAGTGGTTTCACTGAGAGTTGTCCTTTTTAGAGAAGTAGGGGAAGGATAACAGGACCCAGAGGATAAAATTTTATGTGTGCATAGGTTTATGGCATAGGGGAAAGTGGAGCAATGAAGAGAGCAGGATGGCATTTGTTCCCTAGGCCAGAGCCTAGACTAGGTCTGATTCCTGGGAAGAAGGAAAGTTATAGTAGTTGTGCAGTAAACACAACTACTTGTAATAACTCTTGAACAACTTTATGAGTCATAGGACCTAAACAGAGATGTTTTGTGACAAAGGTAGCCAATTCTAAACCTTCATTTAATACCCTAACAGATTTCCAAAAACATCTCAAAAGGAGCTTCTAGGGTATGACTCTAGGAATTCCATCCTCATGAAAACATGAGACTGAATGAGCAGGAGATAATCAGGTAAAGACTTGGGAGAGTCAGGAGGACATTTCAGGCAAAGCAGACAACTTGAGCAAAAGCACAAGAAACAGCTCAATGTTTGGGAGAATCTCAAGTAACTCATTATTGATGGAGCTTGATGTTACAAGACATGGAGTAGCAAGTGTAAGAATAAAGAATAGGAAAGTCCCTCTTGCTATGTCTAAAAGCTGGGATTCCACCTTGTAAGCCAATGATTTTGCCAATTCTAGTCCAGTGGTTGTGGCTGCCTGAAGGTCTGAGTTAAGGAGTCTGGGGTGGCATTTAGACTCAACTGGATCAGAGGCAAGAGAGGCGAGTGATAGCACATCTGCCAGGTTTTGATGTTCCTGCTTTGACAATGAGGAGCCATTGATAGTTCTTTGCCCCCAGCAAATGCGACCTCAAAGGCATACACTATACACCATCAGAGAATACTTATTGTTTGATAAATTTGGGCTTTTTTTTAGATCCTGAGAGATCACTGATTATTTTCATCACATTTATTGTGCCCTCCTCATTCTGTCAAGGTATTCTGATAAGGTTGAAATATATGCTGATTTAGCCAATAATATCAGTCCTTTCTGAGTCTTTAAAAATGGATCTGTACAAAGTTTAGCTGAGGTCTATGGTCCTTAATCCTCCCATTTCAGTGTGACCTGCAGCCTAATGAGTCTCTCAAAAGTTGCTTTGAGTAGATATGCCAATTAGCAAGTCACTTTAGTATCTTAGGTGCTAACCTCAGTTTCATTCTATGAACTTGACTTCTTATCTTTTCTGTTTTTCCTTGGGTCCTCCTGAGATTTTAAGTCAAGGAAGAATCTCCACTTAAATATACTCAATAATAAACTAGCCAAACTAAAAAGAGAGTGACTTAAAACTTTCTATTACCTTTAAAAGTTACAATTAATACTATTACATAATGCAGATGTTAGCAGGAGGAGAGGCCATTACTAAACCTGACTTTTGCAGGTTTGAGGTACACAGTCTGGGGATCTCATTGAAAAATGGCATATTGAACTATAACAGAATTTCAGAGGAGAAAGTATGTAAGAGGAACAGACAACTGACTTAGATTAGCAAAATGGGGCTCTGGACATGTGAAGCTCAGCTTGTATTACATCACTCTAAAAATATATATTCAGAACTGATCAATTGCCTATCCATAATAGACTTCTTTTTAACTATATAAATAAAATTTTAAGATTTTATCATGTATTAAATAATCACAAATCTTTTAATATTATGGTAGGCTTTCCTTTCCAGCCATATTTTTATCTCTATTGTTCACCACCGAGTTTTCTGTTTTTCTTACATTTTGGTGCATAACATTGAACATAACTACCAAGGCTGGAAAATTTTAATTTTTTGACTTTTTAATTTTTCTCAATTATTTGGATACTCTCATGCTGCCAGCAGTTTTCTAGAGTTTTTCATTTGGGTACTCCACCCTCAGCTCACACATTGCACTTGGTTCCTCTATACCAGCATCCTTATCATATTGGCTTTCATTCTGAGGCTTTTTGCTCATAGTAGCAAGATAGCTGCCATAGTCCAAGCATCATTATCTCACAAGACAGTATCCCAAAGAGGAAGAAAGGGGACAAGGACAAAGTGTAATTTCACCCAATTTTATCAAGGGGAAAAAGCTCTTTAAGAGGTCACGCAGGTGACATTCCATTACGTTTCATAGGCCAAAAAATGAGTCAAATGGCCACGCGGTGCAGAAGAATATAGATAAATGAGTATGTGGCAGAAATGGATGGGATTGCCAAGACTAAAATAACCAATTCATAGCTCTTTCTTTTGAACTAGACACATGGCTCCTCCAAACAAATTCTAGGGATTATTTATCAAGAAAAAAATTAGGAATGGCTTTTGGCCATGCAGTCAAAAATTTCTGATACATTACTCCATTAAAGGAATGGATATAATGTGGAGGTGAAGGGTTTTCTTGATTTAGAAATTTGGTAGATAATAGAGAATGGTGGACGATGAGCAAGTTGAGTTGAGAGAAGAGAAATGATTTTCATTTTGGGCTCATCAAATTTGAAATGCCTGTGGTGCATTGAGGTGGATGTGTCCAAGAAGATGGGGGACACAAGGAACCAGATCTTAGGAAAAAGTTGTGTGCAGAAGAGAGACTTGAGATCCAGTAGTGTAACTAATGACAGTTGCAGCTGTAGGTTTGAATGTAACCAGTGAGGGGAAGTATAAAGAGACAGATGACAGAGGAACTAGTATGAAATGCCAATCAATAATTTAAGGATGGGAAGAGAAATTCAGATGTGGAAGCCGGCTTGGAAAGATAAGACAGAGATAAGAGAAAAACCAGGTGGGGGTAATGTCATGAAAATCCAGAAAGACTTCCAAAAAAGGACTGAAAAAGAGAGTCAAATGCTGCTAAAAAGTCAAACAAGATGAAAGTAGAAAACAATGAGAGGACTTGGGCAATTAGGACATGTTGTTGCATAGCAATATTTTCAATAGAATGATTAAGAAAACTGCCAAGTCATAGTGGGTTGAACAGTAAATGAGAACCAAGGAAAAGGAGAAAAGTATTTAGCTAGTTACCACACATACACTACAGTTATCACTAAGGTTTACGATATCTTAATTTTTAAAAAGAATGAAAATAGTAGAAATTTTAGACACTATGATTTTTTTCTGCATGCCTTTTCAGCATAATCATCGATGGTGTCTAATCTGTCTACCCACAGACAGATGTATGTATTTAGTATTATGCATGTATGTATTTAGTATGAATTTTTCAATTTCATAAATACTATCATTCAACTTGAGATCTAATCCTAAATTCAATCCTTATTAGCTTTGCGACGACTTATGTGGTTCATCCAAAGGTCACACATCTAGTCTGTAAAATAATTCAAAGTCCACATTCTTCACAATTGAGAATTCTGGTGAGTCTATTGAAGTGAGTCAGTTCCCACGTAATAAATGCCAGTGTGACTTTAATTTTTCCACATGAATCTATCTACCTCCCCTTCCACAGCGCAACAGACAAAATGAGGGCTATGAGAGAAGATATTGAATATATATATAGATATATTCAATATAGATATATCTGATATAGATATATATATTGAATATATAATATAATATTCAATATATATAGATATATATAGAAGATATAGAATATATATAGAATATATATATACAGAATTCTACCACAGATAGAAGTAAAGAGGGTAGTCTCCATATTGCTGAGGATGAGAAACGCATTTCCTCCTCCCATCCAGCTATCCCCTCTCTTAGAATTTCCAGCCAGCTGTAGCTGAGAAATAGATGAACTGTTAAACAGAGAAGCTCTCCAACAAAGGGCTGTGTGAGAGAGGAGTGTAATTCAGTGGTGCCAATAATATAAATCCATCACATGAGGCCAAGTATGGTGACATATGCCTGTAATCCCAGCATTTTGGGAGGCCAAGGCAGGTAAATTCCTTGAGTCCAGGAGTTCAAGGTCAGCCTGGGCAGCATGGCAAAACCTGTCCCTACAAAAAGTACAAAAAACAAGCCAGGTATGCTGGCAGCTGCCTGTAGTCCCAGCTACTCAGGAGGCTGAGGTGGGAGGATCCCTTGAGCCCGGGAAACAGAGGTTGCAGTGAGCCGAGACCACGCCACTGTACTCCAGCCTTGGCAATAGAGCAAGATCCTGTCTCAAAAATAAATAAATAAATAATAAAATATAAATTAATCATATACAAACTTTTCTGGTTGTGATACATTCATTGTTGAGACTTTCCAGGTAGCATCATCTTTGATAATAAGCAGTATGTTAATTATGTCATTAAAGTAAAAAATGTGGGGGGAAAACTCTATGCATTCATTTGAAGTCAATCATTTATATTTTAAATGGTTTAGATGTGTAATGTAGGAAACTTTTGCATTGAAATAAAGCAAACAAATTATTACAAAGCATTTCAAAAGAAAAAAGATTGTTATCTGAAATTTTGGCTACTTTATTGGTTTTCCATAGCAATTGGCTTGTCTTTGCATTTTACTTTCTCTCTTCTACTAGTGAAGAAGCAAAAATGACAGTCCTTTGAGCTGTTGCTCTATAACAAAGTAACTTAGGGAGGCAGAAAGAGGATGGAGTCAACTTTTATGAGAAAACTGCTTATGTTTTCCTCTGATATAACTTTTCCATTCAGA
The DNA here is from genome assembly GCF_000001405.40 of Homo sapiens. Lineage (NCBI taxonomy): Eukaryota > Metazoa > Chordata > Mammalia > Primates > Hominidae > Homo > Homo sapiens. The sequence goes on along the minus strand of NC_000010.11, from coordinate 50,945,931 downwards.
TGTTTTATGACAACTGCAGTCTCTAAGGACTAACTCTACAAAGACTGATATTTTAAAATAAGATTTCCCTTATTACTTAATCATTGCAATCTGACAATAAAACCATCTGCCTATAATGAGCCAACTCTGCAAACTGCTCAAGTCCAAAAAACTGAATGTCTGAAAGAACTCATTGTGTTATCCTGGGGTGCCAAATTTGACTTTCAGACAGAAACTTTGTGTCTGACTTTTCTTATGCCATCAATGGGATAAGACACTTTCCTACTTTTTTTCTCTACTGTGGGCATCTAATTTTTTTTAATCTGGCTTATTTTACATTAAATGATGAAAGAATCATGATCAGAAGCCCTTAGGGCAATATAGGTTTTCGCATGTGCTAAACTGTTGCTGTTCTACAGCCAAAATAGCAATTATTTCTGAGGTTTATTGGGCTGTTATGCTAGGTAGTAGGCTTCATATGCAGTTTACTCTTGAATACACGCAAGAATCTTACAGAGTAGGAAATATTAGTTTCTTTATTTTACAGAAAAGAAAACTGAGGCTTAAAGCCATTGAATAAGCTGCCAAAGTCAGAGTTATTAAGTGGCAATAGTAGGACTCAAATTTAGGTATTTTGAGATCAGAGTCTAACAGCCCCCAACCCTTATTATAAATAAAACATACAAACATACATTACTATAATCAATGAGAACTCTCACTTAGAAGGCCACATAATTAATAAGTTAATGCAACATCAAAAAGAAGACTAATTAATATTTATTTAAACAATATAAAACATTCAAAATATCGGTAATTATGAACTTTTTATTTTCATTTTTAATATAAGAATATTTTGAAAAATAAACAAGAAACTAAACAGATGACTTTCGGTCAGGACTATTTTAAAGGAACCAAATCTTGGGAAGTAGAGCCTGTTATACTAAGTAAGTACTGGGGAAGTTTTGAAACACTTTTGAAAAGGAGAAGTATTTATGCCCAGTTCATTTAGTTTTAAAAGACTCAATTAAAAAAATAAAAATATTCATTTTGTTATTAGTGACAGACTTTCTAAATAAAACATCTGTTTCCTGGGCTGATGCTTCATAACCAGGTTAACAGGCTCCTTGTGTCACACATGGTTATAAAATGACCAAGTGAAGGTCTATCATTGGCCCATCCAGAATGGAACAACAGAGTAAGAAGAAAGTCATGGTCTCTGTGGTGCAGAGCTTCATCAGTTTGATTCTGCTTAAATTTGAGAAACAAAGTGTTTCCAGTCGCTCTTATCTTCAAGTTAGTGATTGGCAATACATTGGAACTTTTGCCAATTTTACGCATAGAATCCAGTATAAAGTTTATAGTTATAGTCATAATGAGCTTCCTGTCTTACGTAACCTAATAATTAAAAGTTGTTCCCAAAATAATTTTCATCAGCCCATTTTATTTTTTCTTCTAGATCATTCTCAAGATGGTTCTCCTCCTAAGGGAAGGTAATTCCTTCTTTTGGGAAGATGGGGATATGAAATATCCACCATGCAAGAAAATATCTGAATTAGTATCACTTGATGCAGAAGAAATTGCTCTGATCCAGTGGCCAACCATACCTCTATTATTCCTCTTTCCCTATATATTCCCTTAGGAATGCCAAGCAACTAACTAGTATTGAGGCTCTAAAGAGATACACCTGAAGGGGGCAAAGACAAGCCCACTTTCCATTTGTACCAAAGCTCTGACCTGGCCAGGCGTGGTGGCTCACGCCTATAATTCTAACATTTTTAGAGGCTGAGGCAGCGGGTCACTTGAGCCCAGGAGTTTGAGACCAGCCTGGGCAGCATAGCAAGACCCAGTCTCTACAAATCTACAAAAATTAGCTGGGTGTGGTGGTGCACGCCTGTAGTCCTAGCTACTCAGGAGGCTGAAGTGGGAGGATCACCTGAGCCTGGGAGGTCGAGCCTACAGTGAGCCATGATCATGCCACTGCACTCTAGCCTGGTGACAGAGTGAGATCCCATTAAAAAAAGAAATCTGACTCAGGGCAGGAGGAAAGACTGATTCAACACAAAATTGTAAGAGAAGAGACTAATAGTCGATTGTGATTGAAAATATAGTAAAACATAAGAGCTAAATCATGAATTTTTAATCAGAAAGACCTAGATTTTCATCCTGGATCTACAACTTAGCCATGGGGTTGCTGATAAATGAAAGAGGAGAGGAGACTATGACCAGTGAACTGAGTCACAGCCTTGCTTTGTATATTTGAGAATATTAATTCTCTTACCTGGTGTGGCAAAGACATGAAGGTGAAAGAAGTCTCAATGGGCATAGGATCATGAAGTCAAGGTGCTCAGGGGATGGAGACTAGGTTCAGAAAAGTCCCTGGGAATGAGAAAAACAATATGCATGTGTTCAAGTCTTCAGGGAAAGGCCAAATAGGAGGATGCTAAACGAGGGCAGGTGACATCAGTGCTAATTTGAAGATGGTGGTTTTAAAAGAGGATGAACCTCTAGCATGGAAATGGATAATAATACTAATATCCAACATATAATTAGCATTTGAAACCTGCCAGAAACAAAGTGCTTTATATGTATCATCATGTTTAAGCTTCACAGTCCTGTAAGGCATATACTCTCCTTATACTCACTGTACTGGTGCAGAAAGGGAGATCCTGAGAGTGGAAGTATTTTGCCCAATGGCACAGAGTTCATAAATGGTGGGACCAGGATTCACACCCAGGCTGACTCCAGAACCTTTGCTTTCACCCACAGCCATACTGATGCCTGCACATAATAAATCCAGGGAAGAATGAGAGAGGCATACTCTAGTCATTGAGGAAGGGGCTTTCTCTCTAATGACAGTAATGAGCTGCCAAGCTTTAGGAAGGATAGGAAGAGATGGGAAGATAAAAATGTAGAGGATAAGAGGAATGTGACAAGATAAAGTTTTTAATTTGTGGGGATTCACAGCTTTCCTCCTTTTCTTTCCTCTGATCTCTGAGGAAAGCAAGGACAAGTCATCAGAGAAGAATTATACTCACTTAAGGGACTTTAATGTGAGCAAAGAAAATGTGGGGCCATCATACAAGAAGAGAGCTTAGATTATATGTTTACTTTTGGGGAAGGTTGATGGAAATTGGGATCAGGAGAGAGGAGAGGGGGAGTAAGCGAGAGTGACCACAAAGTTTACAGCCCAAGCTAAGGCGCTTTTGCAAATGGAAAGAGGTGACATTAATTATTATGATGAACCAACAGGTACAAAGCCCTGGACGTTTGATCACTTTAACCAAAGTCCCCTCTAGTCACCTCTTGGTGCTGCCACTGTCTGTTAAAATTAAGACAGTGAGACCCATCCTGAGGTTAGACATGCTAGAGAATCCAATGGGGAAGAAAGTTTGACAGGAGTTGGTGTGGACAAAGTGCTTCGACCCCACTAAAGAGAAAAAATTGAAATTCCTTTTCAGACCATTTTTTTTAGTTGAGGAAGAACATCTTTATTTATTTTTTATTTGTATAAATGTATGGGCTGTAAGTGCAATTTTGTTACATGCATAGATTGCAAAGTAGTCAAGTCAGAGTTCTTAGAGTATCCATCATCCAAATAAGGCATGTTGTATCCATTAGTAATTTCTCATCATCCAGCCCCATCCCACTCCCTCACACTTCTGAGGCTCCATTTCACTATTTCACTCTCTAAGTTTATGTCAGACCACGATTTTTTTTAATGCAAAACCACTTCAGAGCTGCATTAGTGGGTAATGGTTTATACTTAAAAGAGGAGTTTATACTTAAAAGAATCCACATAATACGTGAGGACATAATCAAAGTGAAGCTGGTAGAGGGCAAGGGGATAAAGTTCATGTGAGAACAAGAATGAAAAGTAAAAGTGCATGGGAGGACCTGAAGAAGGAGGGTGAGGTAACAGTTTAAATTGTAAGAAACAGACTTAGGTTCCCCCGCAGTAAGTTTTCTTATAAAATACATGTGGAAATAAAAATTATGAGATGGATCACTAAGTAGCTTCTGCTTACAAAAACTTATAAATAGCCATGCAGTTTGGCTTTGCATGGAGTGAAATATAAGTCAGATACTAGAAGCTTGTTTACAACTCAACGTAACTCTAGACACTGGGTTGTCTGCTCCCCCTGGGCAGCAGGGACTCCTTCTTTCGTACTCTGCCATGATTGTAACACAGCTACCCTCTGCCTCTGCTCCTTTCTGTAAGTCACTGGCTTCTGCTCTTCCTATCAGGGATGCCCTCCATTTGTGGGTCTGGCATCCAACATCTCCAAGGCAGAGGATCTAATTTGTTCATTCACCCATTATCCAGTAGACAGCCCTGCTGGGAGATTATCTGTGTTGGAAAGCCTCATGTGCTTCTGGTTAGCCTGCAGACTAGCTGTACTTAGTTCAAATGCTTACCCTTCATCCAGTATCTATGATCAAGGTCATGCGATCACAGCAAATAGAATGTGGTTACCCATGATACGGGGACACCACACTCTCCTAGATGTCCTACCACCTCTCCAGATACTCCTTTGTGTAGTCATTAAATGTTGGATATCCTTGAGGTTGAGGCTTAGGCCTTTTTCTCTTTTCCTACTATCTTTCTCCTTATGTAATCTCTACCATGCCCATCACTTCAGTTCACACACATGGGTCAATGATTTCCAAATGTATATCACTTGCCTCAATCTCTCATTTGAATTCCAGAGATGATATCTAATTGCCAACTTGACATTTCCACTTTTATGTCTCCAAGGCATCTCGAATGCAATATATTCTGGACTTAACCTATGCTATTCTGCCTCTAACTTATCTGTGCATCACTGTCCATTTAGTTACAAAAGCCTCAAGGAACCATCCTTGACATATCCTTCTGCCTCAAACCTATTTTCAATCTACCTCCTGGCTCCATCAATCTCACTTTCTCAATGCCTCTAAAATCCATCTACATCTCATGTTCTTTGCAGCCACCACCATATAGTTCGCAGTACCACCATCACTCTCTTGGACCACTACAGGGCCCCTCACATTGTTCCCTGTCATCTACTCTGGCCCCCTTTCAGTTGATTCCCAATACCACAGTCACAGTGAGCTTTACAAAAGAGCTCCTATCAGGTCACCTCCCCACCTTCCCACTTAAAACCCTTCCATGATTTCCTATCACTCTTGGAATTGTGAATAGCATCTTTAATGTGGCTCTGCGTGTCTAGTCTAGCCTCTGTCTATCTCCCTACCTTCGTTCTGCATAATGTTTCTTTGTTCCAATCACATCAGCCTCATTTCAGACCCTTGAGTATGCCAAGAACTTTCCTGCTACAAGTCCTTTTAATGAAATAATCTCTTGCATGAACAGCTAGATGGTGTCTCTTCATCTGGATAACTTCTATCCAATCTTCAGGACTCTGCTTTTCCTGATTCCTGTCCATGTCAGGATCCTTTGCTATACAGTCTCATAGGTCCATATTTCTGTCTTTGAAAGGCTACATTAATGATGTGATTGTTACATTTTTTATGTTTTCTCACATATCCCCACACTCTAATATTCATATTAAGTAAGATCATATCTATTGTTATTTACCATCATATCCCCAGAGCCTGGCACCTAGTAAGTGCTAAAGAATATATTTTGAATGGATAGATGAATGAACAAATCCTTGAGAAACTACCCAGGGCCATTTCCTTTAATACAGGACTATAAGAATGATACACTTTCTCTTTGAAGAGTGTCTTAGTCCACTTGGGCTGCTATAACAAAATATCATAGACTGGGTGACTTTAAAACAATAGATGTTTGTTTCTCATTGTTCTGGAGGCTGGGAAATCTTAGTTTAAGGTGCTAGCAGACGTGGTACCTGGTTCACTGATGGTTATATTCTCGTTGTGTCATCACATGGTAGAAGGGGCAAGTGAACTCTCTGGGGTCTCTTTTTTGAAATCAGTAATCCCATTCATAAAGGCTCCATCTCTCATGACCTAATCACCTCCTAAAATTCCCAGCTCCAAATATCACCACATTTGGAATTAAATTTCAACATATGAATTTGGGGTAGGGGGACACAAACATTCAATCCATAGCAAAAAGTTTTTCAATATGTTTCTCACTCAAATTAGTCTAGATATCTTTTAAGATAAGGTAAAAACAAAAACAAAAAACCTTTAGGTCTTACCCACTAGAACATTACTGTGGTATCAACAAAGTTTGATTCTTATATTCAAAAGTATTATTAACCTGAGGGGGAGTGAAGGGCAGCCTAGGCTTCAACTTGAACAGAAATTTATTTTAAAAAGCATGAGGGAAGCAGTGTAAACAAAAAGGAAGTCAATAATTAGAGACTTTGGTTAGAGGTAGACCTTTTAGTTGTAATTTTAAGGGCTTCTGTGTAGGGAAGACAATAGCAGAGAAGAGATTTTAAAATTTTCAGTCCTAACCGGAGGTTGGAAGTACAATATGTTGTGTACAGCATTTTCCAATACCAAAGACAATAAACTAAGCAGGTTATATAGTGAAAATATGTGAATTTAGGAAGATTTAAATATGTTAATATATGACAAATTTATAATTGGCTGACAAAAATAAACACATTATAACTATAACTTTTGTTACAGTATTTTACTCTATAAAGAACACATATGTCTCTTACTCAGAGCCAAATTCTTTTACAGTCTTGATATGGTATGTAAGCACAGCATCAAAAACAAAAAGCACCAAAGAAAAGATTAATAGCGTTGATGCTCTAAAAATGTCAAACTTCTGCAAGTCACACCCAAATGCACACAAGTGAAACAACAGAAATATTATTAGCAAGGAAAAGAAAACTACACACTGATCAAAAATTGGCAACACATAAAACATGAAGAGTCAGTGTCTCAAATATAAAATAACCTTTTAACAATCTATTGAAAAAGACAAACATCCTAAAGGAGTAGTCACCAGATCATACAAGCATATGTTTCAACAAGAAAGAAATATAAGTGGTAAAAGAAAAAAAATGTGTAACCTCACTAATAATTTTTAGCCTGCAAAATAAAACAACGCAATATTAATTGTTGAAGCCTCATACTGAAAAACACTCAAAAAAATAAAAATACCCAATGTTGGCAAAAATGTTGAGAAAACGGGATTCTCAAGTACTTTAGGCAGTAATAGAAATAAATTGATTTAATAATTTTGGTGGACAATCTGACAATAGAGGTCAGATGGCCATCTTCACATTGTGTACTTGCATGGTGTAAATGGCAAGTGAACTCTTTGGGGTCACTTTTATAAGATAAGGTAAGTCAAATCTAAATACGTATAACACTTTACCTAGAAATTTAATCTGAGGAAATAATTGGAAAAGTATAGAGTATTAAGAATAAGGATGCTAATTTCAGCAATGTTATAATAGCAAAAATTCTAAAACAACCTGAAGTTACAATGATAAATTGGCTAAATAAATAATTATGATAAATATATTCTTTTTTTTTTTTTTTTTTTATTGAGACAGGGTCTCACTCTCTTACCCAGGCTGGGGCTCGAGTGCAGTGGCACAGTCATAGCTCAACTGCAGCCTTGACCTCCCAGGCTCAAGTGATCCTCCCATGTCAGCCTCCTGAGTAATTAGGACTATGATTTTGTAGAGACAGGGTCTTGCACTTTCTTGCTATTACAAGTGTGAGCCACTGCTCCTGGCCATGATAAATATATTCTATGTAAAACACTGCAACTATAACTATTTTTGTGATACTTTACATATAGTGACATGAAAAATGTCTTTCATTTATTTGATAGAATGCATTTTACAAAATGGCATTTTCCAAATATCTATCTATATTTCTCTATAAATATGCATATTATAAAATGGCATTTTCCAAACATCTTTCTATATCTATGTATCTATAAATGTTTACATATGCATCAAGGAGTCTCGAAATCTCAAGAAAATTTATCAAAAGGTTAACAGTGGATATTTCTGGTTAATGAGGTTATAAGTCATTTTCCACTTTTATTTATTTCTATATTTAAGGTTTGTTTTGACAAGCATTATTACTCTTATAACTTAGAAAAGGGGAGTGTAATATATACTCAGTTAATAGTTTTTAAAAGTGTGAAGATAAGTCATGCTTGTTCCTATAGCAAGCTATATTTTGTTACTTCAGTTGTTTATTTTTGCCAAGGCAGAAAATTTCCATGCTTTGGAGTGGACTTTCTCTTCCAAGAATAGTATGATAACTCTACCATGCCATCTAGTGTTCAGCACTTGGGATGTCTTGAGAAAGGTTTGCAACCGAAAAGATTAAGTACCATTCCAATTCACAATTCCATACGCAATTTGAGCAAAACAAATACATCTTTTTTAAAAGGTCACAGAGATTCATTATAAGTGTATATCTAGATCAAAGCCCAGGTTGCAAACTCTAACAGCAACTATGTCCTTTCAGTTCAGTAGTAATTGAAGAAATCACAAAAATATCCAAAGCCTAAGTGATTAGATACTAATTTAAACTGATAAGTGGGAAGGGGAAATCTCTGCCCACATCCTCATCATACACAACACCCACACAGACACACACCCACACACCTCTACTACTACCGTCACCGTCATCACCTACAAAAGTTGAGAATCAACCAATTTTTTAAAAAAGATTACAAAACCAAAGATTCCATTTGAAGACATATCCAGAGCCTACTTTTGCTGAAGGGTTGAAAAACACAAAAGGTAGACAGCAGATTTATTTCCTCCTGTCTTATCTTCACAGTTTGGTACACAAACAAAGTTGATGTTTTGTTGATAGCTTGGTTCTAGGTTCATCTGGGAATAACTTAATCAGTACAACTAAAGTAGAGTCATAAATCAGTCATACAAAAATATTTATTTATACCAATATACCAGGCTTTTTTAGGTGTTAGGAAACTACTTGAGGTGTCAGGAAAAAGATAGTTTAAAAAGATAAAATCTCTGCTGTCAGGAATCTTATAGAGTAATGTTAATTTTATAAACTTAAGAAAACTTTTCCAATTTGAAACCATGTATTAAGTTCCCTACAAATGTTCCTACCATGTGAGTGGTAATTTGATTTCTGTGATTTTATCCTAAATAAATAACACAAGCAACTTATTTCAGCAATATATTATAGTTGTAAATTGTAAACAACCTAAATGACCAACATTAGAAGGTTGATTAAGAAATGAAAAAATATTCAAGAAATGGAATAATATGTAGTTATCTAAAATGATTTATCAAAGATGTTGAATAGATTTTACAAATATCCATAATCTCAAATGAAAGAAGAATAAGATGATGATATGCAAAAGATCAGCAATTCTTCTGCAGACAAGGTAATAATGAATGATTCAACCTGGCAGAATTTCAGTGACTGTCATCAACACTGGGCATGGCAAAGTCCCAAGGCAAGGATAGATAGTGGAGCTATTCATGATTCACAAGATTCTCTAAAGCAAGTCACTAATGCTGTGACAGACACATAGACAAACAAGTTCCTTCATACTCTTTAGGGTGAAAGTTGGTACAGACTAAGTGTAACTGCACCTTATCAAACCTTCATCACTCAGAATGAGGCAGAACTAGATAAGTTTGAAGAATGTGACAGTACTTCATGTTAATAGCTGCCTGGAAACCAAATACTGGGGCAACAATACACCTCCCTCCCAATACCATTTTTCTGAATATTTTGATATACTGGGCTACTGGTATGGTTTGGCTCTGTGTCCCCACCCAAATCTCACCTTGAATTGTACTAATCCCAATAGGTCAAGGTGGGACCAGGTGGAGGTAATTGAATCATAGGAGCAGTTTCTCCCATGCTGTTCTGGTGATAATGAGTGATTCTCATGAGATACGATAGTTTTATAAACCTATGGTATTTCCCCTGTTTGCACTCTTTCTTTCTCCTGCTGTCCTGTGAAGAGGTGCCTTCTGCCATGATTGTAAATTTTCTGAGGCTCCCCCTAGCTATGCAGAACGGTGAGTCAATTAAACCTCTTTTCTTTGTAAACTACCGAGTCTTGGGTATTTCTTCACAGCAGCATGAGAACGAACCAATCCAGTGGCCAAGAAAATCTTGTTTCCTATCCTATAAAATGGAATAATTGTGATAACTGCCTAGCCATATGCAGAAGACTGAAACTAAACCCCTTCCTTATACCATATCTAAAAATTGACTTAAGATGGATTAGAGACTTAAATGTAAAACAGAAAACTATAAAAACCCTGGAAGATAACAGAGGAAATACTATCCTGGACATAGGCCTTGGCAAAGATTTCATGATGAAGAAATCAAAAGCAACTGCAACAAAAACAAAAATTGGCAAATTGGAACCAATTAAACTGAAGAGCTTCTTCACAGCAAAAGAAACTATCAACAGAGTAAACAGACAACCTACAAAATGGGAGAAAATATTTGCAAACTATGCATCTAACAAAGATCTAATATCCAGGATCTTTAAGGAACTTAAACAAATTAACAAGCAAAAAACAAACAACCACATTTAAAAAGTTGGCACAGGACATGAACAGACACTTTTCAAAAGAAGACATACAAATGGACAACAAGCATATAAGAAAATGCCCAACATTACTAATCATTACAGAAATGGAAATAAAATCCATAATGAGATACCATCTCACACCAGTCAGATGGCTATTATTAAAAAGTAAAAAAAACAAACAAACAGATGCTGGCAAGGTTGTGGAGAAAAGAGAACACTTATACACTGCTGGTGGGAATGTAAATTAGTTCAGCCATTATGGAAATCAGTTTGGTGATTTCTCAAATAACTTAAAACAGAATTACCATTTGATCCAGCAATCCCATTATTGGGTATATACCCAAAGGAATATAAATCAGTAGACTAGATAAGGAAAATGTGATACACACACACACACAAAATACACACCATGGTATATACCCAAAAAAATATAAATCGGTAGATAGGATAAGGAAAATGTGATACAGACACACACACACACACACACACACACACACACACACACACTACACACCATGGAATACTACACAGCCATAAAAAGAATAAGATCATGTCCTTTGCAGCAACATGGATGGAGTTGGAGGCCATTGTCCTAAGCAAACTAACACAGAAGAAAAAAGTCACATGTTTTCACTTATAAGTGGGAGCAAAACATTGAGTACACATGAACACAAAGAAGGTAAGAACAGACATTGGGGGCTACTTGAAGCTGGAAGGTGAGAGGAGGGAAAGGATTGAAAAACTACCTATCAGGTGCCTATTAACTGCATGATGAAAAAATCTGTACACCAAAACCCTGTGATATACAATTTACATATATAATAAACCTGCACATGTACCCCTGAACCTAAAATAAAAGTTAAAAATAAAATAAAATGGAGCATTTAACCAGGAGTTTTATAATGCCTCTTTCAGCTTCAATAGTCTATTGTATTGGCACTTTTGTGCCTATGTTGGTTAAAGTTATATGTGTCCTTATAAAAGAACTGGGGAATGATCCATCTGTGATGGAACCAATTATCACAGAATTTAAACTGGCAATCAGTAGGGACATTGATCTAAACCAGGAAATACAAAAAGTTTGTCTTCCTAGCAAAAATCCTTTTGTTTGTTCTTTCTACATCCTCTTAGTAACTCAGCTTATCCACAACTTCAGCCTCACCAAACCCGCCTCAGTGGAAATAATATATCCATCCACAGCATTCATTCACTTAAAATACATATTGAACATGTTCTGTGTATCAGTCACTATGCTGGTGACAGAATGGGAATGAAAAATGCTCATAGGTAATACCCTTCTTGAGAGGACAGTCCACAGGGGGCATGGTGAATATTAATTTAGTAAACAAATAAAAGTAAATATGAAAACATGATGAGAAGGCAAGAGACAGGAAAACATGCTGGAGCAGGTGATAAAGCGTTTAGTAAAAGCTGATGGTTGAGTAGGTATTAACTAGGGGAAATCGGTGGGAAAAGTAGCCCAGCCAGAGACAGCAGCAGTTTGGAAATCCCTGATATAGGAAGAGGCTAGTACATTTGAGGAACTGGAAAGGGCCAGAGAAGAGTGAAAGGAGCCTCTGATGAGAGACAGAGGGGGCCGGAACATAGGGCCAGGCTCAAAGTTGTGGTCATTACCCCAAGAGTCAGAAGCTCCAGTGTCCACAGGGAGTTTTGCTTCTGCTTCTGGTTTCTCCCTCACTTTATGACAAACATACTGTTTTAACACTCACAGTCTGGATTGTCTTTTCCTCCCTTGTAAAAGGAAAATGTTGAATTAAATGAGCACTAAGGTTTATTCAAGTCATGAATGTGTACCTTTTACACACTCTGCATTTTGCTTATACTTAAGTTGTGAGAATATGATGAAGATTCCCAAGGATTTATTGTGATCATGAAGCCATTTGCTCTGGTAAAAACTGTCTTTTGAGGGGCTTGAGATATTTGTGAACTGCAAAGTAAGTATTCATGATCATCTTACAAAGCAAACTGATCCGCAATAGTGTGTATCAATCACTTTAGCTATTATTGTTTGTTTCCTTAGTATGGAACACAACGTAGTCAAATGCAGGACACGTTTCAGCCACACCACCAATAAACTCTGAGGTCCCTTACAGTAAAGCCAATTTGGAATGATGTTAAGGCTATTCAAGTATTTTCTGTTCCTTTTTTTCTAGTCACAGCCTCTACCTTAGCAAAACAGGCTCTAAGAAACAGAGATCATTCTTTAAAATCCTATGCTATTTAGTGTTATGTACCCTGAAACTTAGATGTTTAATCTTGCTTTGGTTCTAACTCCAATCTAACACAGTCTTTTTGTATGGGTTTGAAGAGGGCTCAGTCTTGTTTTCCTCAGTCTTGTTTTCCTCTCAGTGTATTTCTGAATTCACCTTCTAGTGTTTTACTATTGTCATGAATGTCAGGAATGGGAAAGCCTGAGTATTAAATGACAGCTAAGAAGAAAGTAATTAAACATCTTTACAAAGCCAATTGAACATACATAATAGTACTTATCATCTGCTTAGTTTTAAGACATTCTTGCCACCAAATTCAACTGTATCCTTTCAGAATGTTACAAGTGACAGAAACGTGTTATATGTAGACAATGGATTGGCTTCGGTAAAATAACACTAAATTTCTTTCTTCCTGCACAGTGAGATTTTTATATTTCAAAGAAGAAGTTATGATTTAAGACTTGAAATTGAGGCAAAACAATTTTCTCAGATTTTTCAATTTTTTCTAAGTGTCTGCTTCAACTCTTACCTACTGCTTTTACTTGGCAGAGGAGAAGGGCTGTTTCCTCTGTGTAAAGAATCTGGAATTTAAAGTTCAGAAAGTGGTGACTTTTTCAGATGTCATAAAAGGCAGATACATGTTGAACGGAATGAAAATGTCCTTTCAGAAAAAAGCCTGAATGATGTTGCAAATACGTGAGAAAGGCTTTAAACATGAAGAGGAGACAATAGAACATTTTGGCTGTTGTGCTCTAAACTGTTATAATTCTTTACCTCTAGTGTGTGCGTGCATGCGTGTGTGTGTGTTTGATATCTGTGGCCTTACAGGAGAGGGTGGGGAAAAGCAGCAGGTGGCAGACTAGTGGGATAGCAAACACCAGCAGGCTGGCCATGATGGTGTTTCTACAGGAAGGAACTACATAGTGAAGGTTACGGATTCTCGAGTTAGCCAGCCAGCTCTATCATCCACTTGTCTGAGTTACTAAGGCTATAGCCATTTTAAATAAATATCTCTGTGCCTCAGACTCTTCCCCCAGGAATTAGATTTAACAGTACTTGCCTTCTAGGATTGTTGTGAGGTTGAAATGAGATAATTCATGTGGAATGCTCAGAAGAGTGTCTGCACATTATCTTATATTATAGCAATGCCACATATGACCCCAGCTATTGCATGTCATGAATAATAAATTTTAACAGTGATCACCACCACATATGAGAGATTAAATTAGGCTGTTCATCATGAAGTATATCAGTATATAAGTGAAATAAGCGGTGTCAAATATAAATCACAGATCAATGAGAAACTCTTTGGGTGATCTTTATGCTTCCAGGGAGATAACATCTTACATTTTAATGTAGAATAATGACTGTGTAGTCAAAAATTCAATATTTCATGATGAAAGTTTCTAATAATCAAAAGATATATTACTCTGCTATAATAACTTGTAACCTACTGAGATATTAGCTTTATAAACACTTTCATTTAACTTTCATGCCTTAAACATATTGTGAGTCTGATTGATCCTGTAAAGTTGGCCTCTTTTCTGGAATACTTATCTCAGATAATTTCACCTAAGCAAACTGCTACCATATTAAGAAAATGTTTTCAAAACTTCAGCATTTCAACAATGTGGGCACTCCTTTAAGAGAAAAGTCTAATATGTATTATTCCTTTAAATTATCTCTTAACTATGTCAGAAGAAAAATAAAGTTCTTATTTTAGAATTGGGTGATTGATGTGAGCATTAAAGTCTAGCAATTTAATAGTTCCTGGTCTAAGCTGAAGAGTCCATAATATATAATTCATTAACCTAGGTCTGCCATACAGATTTATAGATAGTGAAAACAACCTGAGATAGGAAGTTGGTAAGTATTCAAATCATGTCTGGTGTCATAGCATGTTGGATATTTTGGAGATTAATTGTCCTTTAAAATCCAGGAACTTCCTTGGATACCTAGTGCCAGTGTAAAAAAAAAATCTAAATTGAAGCATTAGAAGGAAAGTGTAGAGATAATGTAAGTACTACTTTTTAAAAAGTTCAGTAGTCTAAAAGTAAGTTAATTAGTGTTAAATGAATTGAAATAGTTTCGAAAAATTTGTAACAAAAATGGTTTTAACTCCTGTTAATATTATTTCTTCAACAATATGAAATTAAGGATACATTTTGATATTTCTTACTACTAAGACTAAATGTTGGTATTTCTTACTACTAAGACTGACAAATATTTACCCATATTTATGACTCTGCCCATCAACTATCATCTGATTTTGAACTTTAAAAAAGTTACTATAATGAAACTGAAAAATAACTAATTTCCAGAAGAAAGAGGGACCTGAATTGTAGAGTATTTTCTGTTGCTGCTGCTGCTGCTGCTACTGCTACTACTTTTTGAGAATAAAGTTTTTAAAAAGTACTCATTCCCGTATGTTTTTAGAGGGATTGATTTTAAAAAATCACTTGCTATACCCATCAAAAAGAAAACACTAAATAGAAAAATAGTAGATGAAAAATATGAACAGGAAATTCACAAGAAAATAAATACAATCAACATGTTAACCAATTTTAGCCTCATTCACAATTACGGAGACATAATTCTAAAACTCTCTTGGTATACACACATGTAGATATTTCACTTGTATCCTACTCAGGATATGGAGAACCAGGTACTGTGATACGCTACAGGTAAGAATCTAAGATTAGTGAAGGCACGTTGGAGGACAAATTCTTGGATCTGGTCATTCCACTGCTAGAAATTTCCTTTCAGAGATTTCTACAAAATTATGCCAAGCTATCTATGTATAAGAATATTTACTGAAGCATTGCATTGCTAGGAAAATAACTAAATCCAACCTGAAAGCTCTTTAAGAAGGAGCTGGTTATATGAATAAAAGTCCATCCATCCAACGTATTATGACACAGTCTTGCATTGAGTGTCCCTGGGAAAAACGGTCTTTTGTGGAATCTGAGCCACATTAAACAAATGCCTAGTTTATAACAAGACTATCTGCTTTTGAACAATAGGCCACTCCCTAAATTAGTTAAAACCTGCAGGTCTTTAGAAAGATGAAATTCAGTTGAAATTAAATTATAATGTAGTCTTTAAATACTGATGCAAATGAAGTGTCTTCTTATGAAATGATACATACATTAAAAGATTGATAAGATAGTTGGTTAGGGAAAGCTTAGCTTCTGAATTCCTGGCTGCTCCATAATAGGGGCTCTGATAACCCATAATGATCTCCATAAAAGAGCAGGCTCCCAGGTTCTCTAGAATGGCCACAAGTAATAGGCTGTATTTGTAGTTGGGGACACTGCTCTAACAATGGCTGAAACTGTGGTCTGCTTCCCCTCCCCTATTTCGGAAATGACTCAGCCCCACTGGCTGCTGAGACAATGTTGTTCTCTCCAAGTCTCCTCAGCAGCCACCAAACCCTGTAATTATTTACTTTCTCCTGCTTTGGAGTCCTCTGTTTTCTTTCCTAATGAGACTAGGGAGAATATAAAACTATATTAAAACTTTGGTTTTATACCTGGAGAGTCTGTAGACTCTGTTTGAAGACCCCCTTGCTTATAGAAGAAAATTAAGTTGCTCCTAATTCCACCATTGAACAAGAAATTAGCCTTTAACCTAACTTTAAAAGTCACTAAAAACAAGGTTCCTTTGTATGGAATTAATTATCAATTATTTCATTCATTTAATGAACAAATATTTATTAAATACCTACTACCTGTCAGGCAATGTCCTGTGTGCTGGGGATACAGCCCAACCTAGCAAAACCTTTGTACTCTTAGAGCTAACATTCTCACAGGGGAGGACAAATAAATATACTATATATATACACACACACATATAAATACATATATATATTTATATACACACAATATATTTAATGGAAGAGAGTAGTGAGACAAATGAGAGTAAAGAAATAGAGTGACGGGTTGGTATTAGATAGGGAAAGTCTCTATGCGGAGGTGATGTTTGAGCAGAGACTTGAGGGTGAGGGACTGAACCATGCAATTCTCTGGGAGATGAGCCTTGTTGGCAGATATGAAAGGAGAGTCAAGCAGAGTGCATCATGTGTGCAGAAGATGATCCTTTCTGGTCAAATAGAAAGAATATACCAATCATATACTGCTATATAGATAAGTTTTGTTTCTGGATGGATACTCAGACAGCTCTTGATAGTACAGTACTTATCTCTGGAAGAGAAAGAAATGGGACCAGGGATGGGAGGACAAAAATTTTATTTATTATTTTTTACTTTTAATACTTTTTTGATTGCTTCTACTATGTACATTTTAAAATGGTTTACCTAGGTGTTAGGATTATGGGTTATTTTCATTTTATTTTGTATATTTATATGTATTTTTAAAAGACAATCATCCAATAACAACTTTTTAAAGGAATAAGCAATAACTTCTACAAGTATCCATTTATGGAATATTATTGCATATGTACTATATAACAGACCCGTAACAGGCTTTTTTTTTTTTTTTTAGAGAGAGAGAGAGTCTTGCTCTGTTGCTCAGGCTGGAGTACAGTGGTGTGATCTCAGCTCACTGCAACTTCTGCCTCCTGGGTTCAAGCGTTTCTCTTGCCTTAGGCTCCCAAGTAACTGGGACTACAGGCTCAAGCCACCACACTTGGCTAGTTTTTTCATTTTGGTAGAGATAGGGTTTTGCCATGTTGGCCAGGCTAGTCTTGAACTCGTGACCTCAAGTGATCTGCCTGCCTAGGCCTCCCAAAGGGCCTCACCTACAGCCTACCTGAACTTTACCTATGGCTGTATCGGATACTTTCCTGCATGCTGAGCATCCTGTCCCAAGTGTCAGATTCTGTTTCTAAGGACTTTCTCTGGCACCATAGGAACAGGTACTTCCAGGAAGGGAGGGGGTACCACATTCCTGGGGATAACCCTCAGCCAAAACCATTGGATTCATGCCACAGCCTCCTTGTCATCCAGTGGGGAAATTTTGAGGCATGTTGAACAGATATGTTCTCAGAGGGTCCCCAGGGGGACTGAGCCCCTGGTGCCAGAAGTAGTAATCTAGTAATTAATGCACCTTTCCTGACTGACTTTCTTTACTTGTACTTCTTGGGATCAACTCAGATAAATTTTCTGTACCCAAGTCCTTGTTTCAACCTCTGGTTTGGGAAGACTCCAGAAAGATAAGGCCACAGAACAGTGTGTGGCAGAGTGGCTGCTCTGTAAATGTTACTGAATTTATTTTCCAAGCCCTGCTGTGTACCCCATCACCAGCCAAAAGGGAAGTCTAACATGTAAACTCATATAAGGGTATGATTATTTACCCTGTTGGTGCATAGTTTGTTCTAGAAGCCAAGATGAGAAAAACATGTTATCTTTGAAATTCAAAAAAGAGAAAAACTACTCAAGGAAAGTGACATTTTAGATATGTATCGAAAGATGAGAAGGAGTTTTCCAAGGAAAATCTAAGTGAAAAGCATTCCAGAAGAGAGAATAACATGCAGAGGCATGCAGTTACGGGAAGCTCATGATGTTACTCAGAGAATGACAATGAGCTGCCCAACAAAGCCTAGAGCCAAGATTTTAAAACTTTGTAAATGAGATAAATCAAATTAAATGTAATAATAGATGTACAATTGCCTAAGACTTAATGCATAACATGTACAAGTATTCACACTGTCCAATTAACTTAAACATACATTTGAAAAACAGTGGTACCTTCTGTACTAATGTGAGACCTATCATTTATTCAGCCTAGAGATAATGATTAGATTGTGAATTTAAGGACTTTTGCAACGACGTGCAGCTTGCGATGGCTGTGATCAAATAGAAGAAGGTGTGGCATGCTCGATCTATGCCTTCAGATGGGTGGTGTAGAGGAGAGACCAAAGGAAGACCATGATCAATATAAGGTTTTGTCTTTCAGGGTATTTCCTGATGTTGTACAAGCCAATGCAGGAAACAAGCAAGAGGGTAATGTCTCATCAGTCCCTATGGTTATGGGGTCTCATAAGAATAATTTCCAGCTCTATCATCTGGAAAAGCTCACAGAATTTAAATTTATAACACTAAGAGTGAAAAGAAGGAGAGCCTTATGACAGTAAGCATGAGAGGATAGTCTGTGGCCACAAGAAGCTGTAGATCTAGGAAGTCAGAGACCAAGAGCCATCTGGTCTCATCTTTCTCCTTTTCCACTTGACAATAAGGAAACTGAGGTTGATAATAGTTAGATTATTTGCTCTAAGATCATGAAGGAGGAAAAAGGATGAGGAATCACTAATCATTGTACAGGGTTTACCCTTTCTATTACATCTGAACAGAGAGGAACTGTGACAAAAATCAAATAGTGCTGCAAAAGATTTGCCATTACTAAAGTGTAGGAAATATTAGTTGTCTTGGTCCAAAATTAGTTCCCTCTTGTTTGGTGGGGCACTATACCTGTTGCAGTGCAGATGACATAATAATGGTGAAAATATGTCCAGAATAGCTGCCTTTTAGAAGATGTAGGTTATGTCTATATGTTCCTAACATCACTGGCTAAATTATCTTGAATTCAAACTAGACAAAGCTACAAGAACAGCTGTGAAGTATTTTTTAGACCGAATTTGGGTCTTTTCTGTTCTCACTTCCTTTGAACTTGAAGCTGCACTCCCAACATCCGCATTATGCCCCCTCCACAGACAATACTGCATCATGTAGGGTGGCCAACCTTCCCAGTCACCCAGGATGCAGGACTTCCATTACTAAAGCAGGACAATCCCAGGCAAATGGGACCATTGATCATGCAAAGTACTTATTTCTCATGGAGGGAAAGGCTGTAGTAATGTGGCCACAGACAAAGCCCTGCTCTCCCAGAAGCCTGATTCACTTAGCTTGATCCCATTGCTGAGAACCTGGCAGACCTTCAGCAAGAAAGGCATGATGAGAAAAGGAAGGGGAAAAACTTCCTGAGTTCCCAGTGGTTTTCTAATTCCTGATTCCAGTGGTACCCAACAACCACCAGCAACTTGATCCTCTTAGTTACATAAAACACTTGTACAACAAATTGCATATTTTGTTGTTATTGTTGTTGTTTAGATCAGTGCAGGTTGGTTTCTGTAACTCAGAACAAAAATAACTTTGATTAATATATTATCCATCAGCAGCACCGTCCAAACAATTTTAAAAGTTTTTAAATCTCATGCCTTATTGATGGAAGGTCAGTAGTATAGTATTTGGGGAGGTTTATAGGAGTAGTATTTTCAAGGGGAGAATTATTAATAGTTTCTAGAGCAGTAGCAAAGTTCATTAATGCATCAGAAAGCAAAGCACTAATGGAAAAATGCCACCCAGTTTCCAATTTTCTTTGTTAATGAGCACATTTCATTCTCAGGCCAACAATGACTAGTTCAGATTCCCTGGTGCCGGGAAAGTTCTAATCTCAGAACTATCTTGGTCTATTTTGAAATCACAGTGCAAATAAAGGCTGATATGTCTAGGCCTTAAAACATTTTTGGAAGCTAAAATTATATAAACAACACACGTTTAAAAAATATTATTACATAAAGTCTCAAGTCAAGGGTGCAGCAATTAACAATCCAATGAAGGATAACAAAAAGACAATTTATGAAAACACCATGATATGTTTGAGCCCTGAATTGCCTTATCCTCACCAGGGATAAAGTCCCTATCCCCTGCCTGGGACTGGTTGGTCATCTACTTTGATCTCTCCCACTAGGTCTGAGGATAGAGAAGTATAAGCCACAAAAAGAGAAAGTCCAAAGTGGGTTGAAAAAGCTCTGCCCTGCCTAAAAGAAAATAATAAAAGGAGCACAATCTTGAAGAGATGATCTATTATGAATCTCACCACTTCTTACCACTTCCTCAGCACCAACCTAGTCCATGCTACTGTCATCTCTCACTTTCATGGCAGTTGCCTTCCAACAACTTCCCCTGCTCGTCTTTTGTCTCCCAAGAGTCAACCACTCACAAAACAGGTATAGTGTATCTTTTGAAAATGGAAGCCAGACGGTACCTCTCTTGGCTGAAAACATTCTGATTTCCCATCATACTCAGAACAAAATGCAAACTCCTTACATTAGCTTATAAGGTCTTACATAACCTGACTGTGAAGACAATATCTGTGAAGACTGATATTGTCTGTCCTCCTCACTACAATGTAAAGTTCATAAGGGCAAAATCTTGCTTTCTCATGCACTGCCATGTCCCCACTTTCTGGCACATAGTAAGTCAGTGAGGAATGATGGAGCAAATGAACAAACAAAGATATAAAACACATCTAGTTTCAAGTCTCAGCTCTTTCGCCTCCAGGCTCTGTTAATTTAACAAGTTATTTTACTTCCCTAGACCCCAATATTTTTCCTCTCTAAAGCAAGCAAAGCTACCTCCTCCCTCCAAAAGCTGCCATGAATAATAATTGAGATAAATTATGTAAATCCCCTAGACCAATGCTAGAACTTAGTAAGTGATATGGTTTGGCTGTGGCCCCACCCAAATCTCAGGTTGAACTGTAGCTCCTATAATCTCCACATGTTGTGGGAGGGACCCAGTGGGAGGTAATTGAATCATGGGGAGGAATTTTCCCATGCTGTTCTCATGGTAGTGAGTAACTCTCACAAGAGCTGATAATTTTATAAAAGGCAGTTTTCCTGCACATGTGCTCTTGCCTGCCATCATATAAGACACGTCTTTCCTCCTTCTTTGCCTTCCACCATGATTGTAAGGCCTCCCCAGCCATGTGGAACTGTGAGTTCATTAAACCTCTTTCCTTTCTAAATTACTTAGTCTTGGGTATTTCTTCATAGCAGTATGAAAATGGACTAATACAGTAAATTTGTACCAATAGAATGAGGTGCTGCTGTAAAGATACCCAAAAATGAGGAAGCAACTTTGGAACTGGGTAACAGGCAGAGGTTGGAACACTTTGGAGGGCTCAGAGGAAGATAGGAAAATGTGGGAAAGTTGTGAACTTCCCAGAGACTTGGAGAGCTCAGAAGACAGGAAGATGTGGGAAAGTTTGGAACTTCCTAGAGACTTGTTGAATGGCTTTGACCAAAATGCTGATAGTGATATGGACAATAAAGTTCAGGCTGAGGTGTCTCAGATGAAAATGAGGAACTTGTTGGGAACTGAAGTAAAGGTCACTCTTGCTATGCAAGGAGACTGCTGGCATTTTGCCCCTGCCCTAGGATCTGTGGAACTTTGAACTTGAGAGAGAAGATTTAAGGTATCTGGTGGAAAAAATTTCTAAGCACCAAAGCATTCAAGATGTGACTTGGGTGCTCTCAAAAGCATTTAATTTCATTCATTCATGAAGATATGGCTTGGAATTGAAACTTATATTCAAAAGGGAAGCAGAGCATAAAAGCTCAGAGAATTTGCAGCCTGATGATGTGATAGAAAAGAAAAACCCATTTTCTGGGGAGAAATTCAAGCCTGATGCAGAAATTTGCATAAATAATGAGGAGCCAAATAGTAATGCCAAGACAATGGGGAAAATGTCTCCAGGGCATGTCAGAGGTCTTCAAGTCAGCCCCTCCCATCACAGGCCCAGAGGCCTAGGAGGAAAAAATGGTGTCATGGGCTGGGCCCAGGGCCTTGCTGTTTGTGCAGTCTTGGGACTTGGTGTCCTGTGTCTCAGTTGTGGCTAAAAGTGGCCAACATACAGCTCAGACCGTTGCTTCAGAGGGTGCAAGCCCCAAGCCTTGGCAGCTTACACATGGTGTTGGGTCTGTGGGAGCACAGAATTCAAGAACTGAGGTTTGGGAACCTCCATCTAGATTTCAGAGGCTTTATGGAAATGCTGGAATGTCCAGGCAGAGGTGTGCTGCAGGGGTGGAGCCTTCATGGAGAAACTCTGTTAGGGCAGTGTGGAATGGAAATATGGGGTGGGAGCCCCCACACAGTGTACCCACTGGGGCAGTGCCTAGTGGAGCTGTGAGGAGAAGGCCACTGTCCTCCAGCCCCAAGAATGGTAGATCCATCAACAGCTTGTACTGTGTGCCTGTAAAAGCTGTAGGTATTCAATGCCAGCCCATGAAAGCAGCCAGGAAGGGGGCTGTATCCTGCAAAATCACAGGGGCAGAGTTGCCCAAGACCATGGGAACCTATCACTTGCATCAGTGTGACCTGGACTTCAGACATGGAGTCAAAGGAGATCATTTTGGAGTTTTAAAATTTGACTGCACCACTAAATTTCAGACTTGCATGGGGTCTGTAGCCCCTTCATTTTGGCCAATTTCTCCCATTTGGAACAGGTGTATTTACCCAATGTGTGTAACCCCACTGTATCTAGGAAGTAACTAACTTGCTTTTGATTTTACAGGCTCATAGGCAGAAGGGACTTGCCTTGTCTCAGATAAGACTTTTGGACTGTGGACTTTTGAGTAAATGTTGAAATGAGTTAAGACTTTGGGGGACTGTTGGGAAAGCATGATTGGTCTTGAAATGTGAGGACATGAGATTTGGGAGGGGCCAAGGGAGGAATGATATGGTTTGGCTGTGTCCCCACCCAAATCTCATGTTGAAATGTAGCTCCCATAATCCCCACGTGTTGTGAGAGGGACCCAGTGGGAGGTAATTGAACTATGGCAGTGAGTTTTCCTGTGCTGTTCTCATGATAGTAAATAAGTATCATGAAATCTGTTGGTTTTATAAAGGGCAGTTCCCCTGCACACGACTCTTGCCTGCCACCATGTAAGATGTGCCTTTTCTCCTCCTTTGCCTTCTACCATGATTGTGAGGCCTCCTCAGTCATGTGAAACTGAGTCCATTAAACCTCTTTCCTTTATCAATTACCCAGTCTTGGATATGTCTTTAGTAGCAGCATGAGAACAGACTAATATAGTAAGTGTTTAACAAATTTTCTTTTCCCTTAGTAATTCCTCCACCCTTCCAAGAAAACAACAGCAACATAAAGTGAGCTTCACAGGTTATCAGAGCAGCTGTTGGGTTATATATGCCATGAATTTATGAACTTGCATGAGTTTGAAATTCTATTTATTCAACTAGATTTCTTTGTCCCTGTACATTTATTAAAGATTCAAATATTCCCAGAAGAAAACATTCATAAAGTCATCCTTCATCTTGGTAAAAGTAGTTTTTCAAGTGAATTCTTTTTGTGACTAAAAGTCCTATAGAAGACATCAAAAGCAAAAGCCAAAGATGCCAAAGAAAAGCTTCATAGATGTCTAGATAGTTTTTTTTATCTAAAATCAAAGCCTGACATCAGAGTCACAACTAAATCATGAGATGAAACAGCTGGTTCTTGAACAAGAGTTAACTGAAGATACATGCCTTTAGTGTGGACATCACTCAGTGTCAGCAGGTTTGTTGCTACCTGACCAATGCGTACACATGCTGAGAAATTCCCCAGTGGCTAAGCCAAAAACAAACTGTGAATGTTTTTCATTAGCTACAGAAATGATTGTATTAAAAATTAAGCTTGTGATACGGTAATTCCAAAAAGCTTTAAGATTTCTGTATAGTTTAGCTAAGATGATGGCCAAATCCTGCTACAATTCAGCCTAATATATCAATGTCTTCCATTCTCCTTTTACTCTTGGGGTAGAAAACGGAGAAACTAGCCATGATCAGCTACCCTTCTTATCTTTCCACCATCCTTCCACAAAGAATAGATGTACTGAAACAACTCACCTAAGCTGCTCACACTACCATCCTAGCCTTTGAAGTAGTCTGAACCTCTGATGTTGCTACCCTATCATCTCACATCTCTTTAGTGGCCCTGAACTACCTCACCAATCCTGTCTTTTCTGTCCCCATAAAGAGTGTAGCCTAAAAATGCCTGGGCTCCCTGGATCACAGAGAATTTGGAATCAGGAAAAAGTCTCTGGAAGCTGAAGAGCTTGAGGGCCTGTAACACTGAGGGATTTCAAAGACTATCCTTTTATTCATTTTATCTTCTTCAATGGCATGCTTCCTTCCCCCATACCTCCATCACCATCCCCAATCTAGATATATTTTTGAAGTTGAAATCCTCTTTGAAAATCAATAAAATTATATCATTTATAAAATATATTCTCTTTTTTTGGCCCAGATATGTTTTTAATAGTATATCACATCCAAACTTCTGCAGTCATGTGTGTCATCATGGGGTAGATTGTTAATAATCAACCTGGTTTGGCTGAGGTATTGTAGCTTTCTTTTATTTCCTCACATATTCCTTCATATAATTTTGAGCTCACATTCTCAAAATGAATGGCTCTGGTTCAGTAAAGAGACATAAATAAGACTGATTTTTGGACAGACATAAACGTTATTTTTATAGAAAGTAGAGCTCATTTCTTGCACACCCATACCTGAAGTTCAGCCAAAAATGTCTTCTCCCTTCAGAAATCTGTGCTGCTGGTATTTCTTAAAGAAAGAATTCTAAATCAGGGAGGGAAGAATGACCTGAAATCTCATCAGTGTCCTAAATTCTCTACTAGTAATTTTAGAACCATAATTTTAGAACATGAGATTGCGCTGAGGAGCTAATAATACTACTAAAACTTGTTGCTACCTTTTCTCAGCCTAGATCAAAGGTTTTATAAGCAAAGAACACCATAGCTCTAAAAAAATTGTAATTACTACTATGTCATTTGCAGGGCAACCTAGATTAATTCTTTGTTCTGAGAGGCCACCTTGTCTTCTCTGTATGCTAAAGGTAGAGGAAATAGAAGAAAAAAGCAAATTCTTTTTAAATATCAGCTTACTTAAATGGTTAAAAAATATTTTTCAGGTAGAAAGTCCTTGGTCTGTGATTTAACATTCTGTAGAGTTTTCCCTTGCTATTCAAACTTTGCTCATTATAAAAAGGAGGAAAATAAAACATGAGATAGCCCCTGGGGTCTTGTTTTATTAAAGTCCTCCAGGGATCTCATATGATGCATCAGTGTTGACTATATCCCCCTTCATTGTTTTCTCCATTTTCAATTATTTTTGATAATTGTTGACTGTTACTAGAGGCCAAGCACTGTGCTAGGATCTGAAGTTATTAGGTTGACTCCATTTCTGTTGTCAAGACAGTAACTCAGTCTTTTTTTAACTTTTATTTTAAGTTCAGGGGTACAAGTGCAGGTTGTGTTACATTGCTAAACTTGTGTCATGGGGGTTTGTTGTGCAGATTATTGTATCTACCAGGTATTCAGCTTAGTGCCCATTAGAATAATTCAGTCTTAAAGATTGCTGATTCTAATCAGTGCCTCTACTTACAATGAAAGTCATCATCATTTGCCTCTGAAATCCATCAACTCTTCTTTTTCTTTTCAGTGCTTTACTCTCTCAGAAAGCTCTTCTCTAAAATGTAGCTACTGTTTGACTACTAACCTCTCCTTTTACTCTCTTCACCTTCACCTACAATTCACTTTCCCCAATAGACTAAGAATTTACCATTGTAGAAGATATGCAATGATATAGGAGTATTGCCTTTAAAGGAATATAACTTTTTAAAGAGGACCTTGGGAGAGGACAAAATTTAGCTCAGGCTAAAGCTTCTAGCAATGAACTTTCACAGTGTGGGGCATATGGATACTTGATGTGTTAAATCTCTTATGTTTACAAAAAGCAGAAATATACTAACATAAATACAAAGTAGGGTTAATGGTGAGAATGCAGGTATTTCGTGGACCAAGGACAGAAAATGAAGAATAGATGGGAATTCAGTGGCATTTTTACTGGAAACTAGAAAAATCAAAGGGAGTTATGGTTCTCCCATCCCTCTCTTTCTCTCGCAAGGTTTCTAACTTCTACTTCTCTCTGAGCTTGGTGCATCTGCCTTTCTCAATGAGCTGATTCTTCTCATTCACCTTGCACATGGCTCAATGTAGCCAGCAGTCCTGCCTCCATATCATAAAGTTCTAGCCCTTCTACCCCTCACTAACTAGTATCAATCTTGGTCCCTCAATTCAAATCTGAAGAAGGGAGAGAAACTGGGGGAAAGTATGTGAGTCAGAGTCTAATTAATCCAGCTCATCTCTTCAAGCCAGGCTACAAAATTTGCAGATTAATGCATAGGCAAATATTGCGTAAGGCATTCCTCTTAGCCCAATCATCTGAGCCCAGAAAGTACCAAGGTAGCAAAGTAGATAGGGCTGTCTAAGCGGGATCTAGATAGGGCAGAAGTTTTAAAAACTCTGTGTATAAGAACAGGCAATAACATATCTTTAACAGACCCAGACTCTGTATCCTACCATAATATATCTGTAGGTTTTCACATGTTCAGCCGTTCCTCTCTTCCTCCTTTCCAATTATTATTATTATTATTATTATTATTATTATTATTTAATTTGAAATTCATTATAAATTTGTTTGCTTGCTTTCCACATCTTTTGTATTCTCCTTCATTTTAGGTCCTCAACCTTCAGAACCTAGTTAGCACTGAAACAAAATAAAATCTACATAGATGCTCTAGTGGCTATAATTGCCCACTTCTAAAGCAATCATGATAAGAGGGTACTCAAACTATCTCCATCTGTCATGGAGCACTGTGGCTGGAACACTGTGTATCATAGAGGGTACTCAAACTATCTCCATCTGTCATGGAGCACTGTGGCTGGAACACTGTGTATCATAGAGACAAGTGGGCAAAAAGGATGAGATGTTCTAAATGCCCTTCAAAAACATAGCCAGAAAGGAGCCCAGGGGCCTCTGGATTGCCCAGTCTTCAACTTAGAAGATTGGACTGGCCCTGCCTCAAAATATAATCTGATATATTTTCTATACTTACCTGATCTCTTTACAGCTCTTTCTCTCTTTGTTTTTCTCTTTCTCTTCCTCCTCCCAATATGTTATCCCTAATCTTAGCTGTTCAGAGAAAACAAAACATTTTACTACAGATGGGCAAATTGCTCACTTGCACACAATACATAGTGGTCCAAGAAACTGTGCCATGGAAGATATAAAATAAAATCTGCCCTGATAAAAACTCCCTTATGAAATGCTCCAACATTCCATAAATTCAACTAGCCAATGGGGTTATATTACACACCTCATTTCATAAAGATGACTTTGATGACACAGACAACTTGAAAAGTAAATTCTAATTTTTGTCCTTCAGAAACAACTTTTTGGATGAATAGGAATGAACTGAATGTTAGAAGAATGGTAAACAAAATAGAAGGAGTGCTCAATTAGGTTTACCAACTCCATTACTGGATCTATCATTGACTAATCTTGTGAGTTTGGGCAATTGCCTAACTCTTATGGGGCTCATTTCTCAAAAGTCAAGCACTGGGTTGGATGCTAAAGCAAACACTGTTGGTTCCAGGAGTTATTCTCTCCGCTTGTTTCTTGCTGTTATAGCTCATCTCCTACTATAGAAAATAAACATAATTATTTTCATTTCTTTAGCTTCCCCTGCAGCTAGGACATGGGCACCTAACCAGTCTTATACAATGAAACCAATCATTCTGCCTGGGGCACTCTGGGAAAGGTTTTCATTGCTATTGAAAATAAATTTCCTTCCTAACTACATGCCTTTGGAAGTTTTCATGCCTGCAACTGTGAAAGCCATCATGCAAACCATGACATAGCTAAGATTATACAGAATCTGACCCAGAGTGCTGCCAAATATTTTAGCTGCTGAATCATCAGCCTAGAAGTCAATAAACAATGTCTCATTATATAAGCTATTTTTTATTTGGGTATTCCATTACTTATAGGTAAAAACATATCCTTATTGAATTGATACCATTATCTCTAAGACCCCTACCAGCTTTAAGAATATATGATCCTATACAAAAAAAGAGAGAAAAGCAATGAAAATTGTCCCATTGTTAAGTAAATTATTTTAAGGATCAACAGAAGAGAGACTTCAAAAAGGGATACTCCAAGAAGGCAGACGTATAGCCAAAGTAGATAGCTGCTTGTATGGTGTGGCTTGTAAAGCCCAGAGGTGAACCTACCCTAAACATCTGCTGCCTTTATACCACAATTGGTGGAAGGGACATCTATGGTGTACACCTGCAATACTTAAACTGACCATTATTGTTAACACTCTTTCTACATTAGGAATCTGCCTCCCACCATAAAAGTCAAAGAGAGATTTTCCCCCTTGCTATCCTTAGCAGCCAGAGTAAGAGAAAATGACTAAGAACTGGCCAGTTGAATGTTCCTGGACAGGATTTTGGATCTTAGAGGGTGTAAAATAGGGATGCCAATGCAGTTATAAAGTTATTGATGGGAAACTCCTTAGCCTTGATGGAGAAGTGAAGGTACCACTAATTGTGGCTTCTTAACCAGACTGTTTTTATGGTGTGAACTTGAATAAGAATTCTTGATGGGCAGTCTCCCTTGGTCCTGCCTATGTTTTGAACCTGGTTCTTCAATTTTCCAATATCTTTGGGTGCTATCCCAATATATTCCAGGTAAATTATTTTTTTGGTTTTGGTTAACCAGGACCCATTTTTGTTTATCATAACCAAGAAAGCTGACTGAGTCTCAAAATCTTCAATGTAAAGAAGTGTATCTTCAGAAACCTAGATTTCATAAAGACTTGTGAAACTAAAATTTAGAAGAACAACTTCAGCTTTCAAAGAACATCTGGAACTTTCCAATAACTTCCAGCCCTATCAAAGAAAATAATTTTGGTCCTGGAAGGTATCGAGGGAACCAAATCGGTCCTCCATGAGGCAGCCGTGAGTATACTGGCTGCCCACGCCCTGCAGGTGCACACCTTTCCCAAGGACTTTAGAATAAGTGGCGGTCATTCATGACATGAGAAAACACTTTCATTTCTCACTGCCATTTTTCAAGGAGAGCTATGACTGTCCTTCAAAAGTGTCTCCAACATATACTCAGAAAGGTGTGTGTGTTTGAGAATCAACATTGAGTAGAATATGACCTTTATTAAGAACAAGACTTGCAGAGTTGGCTGGAGAGAAAGAGGCCCACAATTGTTCCTTTTATAGTGGACTTGCTCTCCTATCCACCAAAGACCAGACTTCCTGCTACAATTATAAAAATAAGTTACAAAATTATAAATAAAATAAAAGGAAAATATAAACAAGAGCTATATCAACACAAAGATAATAAGTTAATTGTAGGCTAAAGTGGTTGGTAGAAAAATACACTGAACAAAATAAGTGCAAAAAAGATTATCATTAAAAAGAAAACAGGAATTGGGACAAAATTCAATATAGAGAAAGAAAAATAAAAAATTTAAACAAATAAAAGGTAATACAATATCTCAGATTAAAATGAATAGTGAAAAGGAAAATAAGTTATAAATAGAGATCAAAAAGATAATATGAATCAATAAGAAAACACTATTTTTAAAAGCTCTTTTTCAAAATAAGGTGTACCAAACAATGCAAAGCTCTAAATGGGGTATGTGTGTGTTAAATAATAGCAATACCATTCTCAGTAAAGATAAGGAAAACATAAACAACTGAAGGAGGTAGCTGGAAGCCCTCAAGAATCAAACCAATTCCTTTGTAGGAAGGTGTAGAGAGAGCAAAACAAGGACCATCTATAACATTCCAGGACAGTTATCTTTGTCAATTTTACCTAATTAAGATAATACACTGTCTCAGAAAACGTAACCCCAGAAATTAGGCAAGTATGTAGTTTTCTTATTGCTGCCTTTGTTGTTTTTGGTAGCCAAATACCTTTTCTTGAGCCCCTACTATATATACGTTAATATGAGTCTCATCATTTTCATATTGCCTGTCTTATGTAATTTCTTCAACAAAACTGGCCAGGCTTAGTGGTCCTCAAACACTATCCATACACTGTGTATTAGTTTCCTTCTGTTTCTATAAAAATGACTTAGTGGCTTAAAACAATACACATTTATTCTCTTACCATTTAGGAAGCCAGAAATCTAACATGATTCTCCCATAGCTAAAGTCAAGGCGTTGAGATAGGGCTGGCTCCTTCTTGAAGCTCTGAGAAATAAACTCTTCACTTGACTTTTCCAGCTTTTTGAGGCTGTCCTCATTTCTTGGCTCATAGGCTATATCACAATGCCTTTTCTCCTTCCACTTCCATTATCACATTGCTTCTTCTCTGATGCTAACTCTTCCTGTGTCCGTTATGATTATAAGGACCATTGTGATTACACCCAGTCACCTGGATGATCCAAGCAATGTCTGCATCTCATGATTCCTAATTTAGTCACATCTACAAAGTCTATTTTGCTGTACAAGTTGACATACACAGGTTCTGGGATCAGGATGTGGACATCTTCAGGGGCTGTTATTCAGTCTGCCAAAGACTAGTCATGTCAGAATTTCCTGAGGAGTGAATAGTTAACAATATTGCACCAATGTTAATTTTCCAATTTTTATTATTGTATTGGGATGATATAAATGGTTAACATCAGGGGAAGGTGGATGAGGTGATACATAAACTCTCTACAATTTTGGAAACATTTCTGCAAGTCTAAAATTATTTTTAAAAAACAATATAATTGAGGATATAAACAACAACAAATAATTTCCTGGGGGTTTTAAAAGATTTCCTGGCTCCTCCCAAGATTATAGAATCACATTCACCAGAAATGGAGCCTAAGATTATGCATTATAGACAAGCACATGATCCTGTTTCACAGCCAGGTACAAGAACCGCTAACTTGTTATCATGCTAGTGTTATTCAAAGTGTGGTCCACTATCAGCATCATCTGAGGTCTTATTAGAAATGCAAATTTTCTCAGGCACTACCCAGACCTACCAATCAGAATCTGTCCTAGCCACAAGGCCCAGGAATCTTGGGTTTTAACATATTGTCCAGATGAGTCTTCACACTAAACTTTGATAAGCACTGGATTACACATATTTTAAATCACAGAACACAGCTATTGCTATCTCATGTTTGAAATCTGAGGCAACTGAGGCTGTTAAATGAGATACTCAAGGTAACATGGCTAGTAAATGCCAAAACTGGAACAAAATTTCAAGTTTGATTGAATCCTTCATCAAATTGCCATTTAATTCTGATATTTCACCTTTAGGTTTTATATTAAAGTATCAAAGTCTTTCCTCAAATGAAAATATATTAGTCTGCTGGATAAATCAGTAAGACATTAAGAATTAATAAAATGACATCCATTCATTAAACATAAATAAGGTGATCTGTTACCAGCAGAGACTTGAGGGAATGAGACCCAGAACAGTCAGCTTGACAGCCAAAGCAAAATCTTATATCATAGCCCATGAATATATTGACCCAATCATATATTTCAAAAATGTCAGATCTAGTCCTTTCTTTAGTTATTTTAGTCTATAGTCTCTATATTCATATTCTCAGATATAACTTCCAAAGAATGAGACTCAGAAAATATATATCTTACATATGGAGGAGTAGCCAAGGAGACAGGTCCACATGTGTACTGGGAGAAGGAACCTATCCTCACTCCCAACCCACTCCCTGCATCTTGGGGACCAGTACATCCAAAGGCCTAGAGAGCAAAAAGAGGCATTTGGTAAGGAAACTCAAAGTAAAGAAAGAATAGGACACAAGGAAGCAACTCTATGATGTTGGCCATCATAGCAGAGTGCCACGTCTGATTGTCAAGCTACACCTGGAATCTGAGCATCTTCCTCAGTACGTCCTTCACCCGGGTCCACACTGCATAGAAAAGATGAAACTGAATGACTGACAGTTGACACCAGAAAAGAGGCAGGGCAAGAGAAGAGGAGGTAGAAATGTAAAAGCATGAAAAAAAAAAAAAGCAAGAATTTTCCCCTAGTGACATTGGCAAAAGTAGTTAACTGAAAGCGCCCTGTGGGATAGGGATTGTGAGTGGCCCACACTCACTGTGGGTTGGAAAAACTAGCGGAGAAAGAAGCAGAGCCACTTCTACGCCACCTGTGGATTCCATAGAAGTGAAAAGATAATAACTGAACCTGAAGGACTTTTCAGTTCATTTTTCTGGACTTGTGTGTGCTTATCCAGTTGATTGTAAGGATGCTTGATGAGTTGAACTACTAATCTATTTGCAAGCAGTGATGAGCTCTGAGAGAACAGTAGAGCAGGCACAAGATTGAGGGTTTGAAGACCTGAGGGAGGTTTGGTGAGAAGAAAATCAACTTGCCCTTTTCAACAAAATTGACAGACCGCTAGCAAGACTAATAAAGAAGAAAAGAGAGAAGAATCAAATAGATGCAACAAAAAATGATAAAGGGGATATCACCACCAATCCCACAGAAATACTAACTACCATCAGAGAATACTATAAACAGCTCTACACAAATAAACTAGAAAATCCAGAAGAAATGGATAAATTCGACACATACACCCTCCCAAGACTAAACCAGAAAGAAGTTGAATTTCTGAATAGACCAATAACAGGCTCTGAAATTGAGGCAATAATTAATAACTTACCAACCAAAAAAAGTCCAGGACAAGATGGATTCACAGCCGAATTCTATCAGAGGTACAAGGAGGAGCTGGTACCATTCGTTCTGAAACTATTCCAATCAGTAGAAAAAGAGGGAATCCTCCCTAACTCATTTTATGAGGCCAGCATCATCCTGATACCAAAGCCTGGCAGAGACACAACAAAAAAAGACAATTTTAGACCAATATCCCTGATGAACATCGACGCAAAAATCCTCAGTAAAATACTGGCAAACTGAATCCAGCAGCACATCAAAAATCTTATTCACCGTGATCAAGTGGGCTTCATCCCTGGGATGCAAGGCTGGTTCAACATATGCAAATCAATAAATGTAATCCAGCATATAAACAGAACCAAAGACAAAAACCACATGATTATCTCAATAGATGCAGAAAAGGCCTTTGACAAAATTCAACAACACTTCATGCTAAAAACTCTCAATAAATTAGATGTTGATGGGACGTATCTCAAAATAATAAGAGCTATCTATGACAAACCCACAACCAATATCATACTGAATGGGCAAAAACTGGAAGCATTCCCTTTGAAAACTGGCACAAGACAGGGATGCCCTCTCTCACCACTCCTATTCAACATAGTGTTGGAAGTTCTGGCCAGGGCAATCAGGCAGGAGAAGGAAATAAAGGGTATTCAATCAGGAAAAGAGGAAGTCAAATTGTCCCTGTTTGCAGATGACATGATTGTATATCCAGAAAACCCCATCATCTCAGCCCCAAATCTCCTTAAGCTGATAGGCAACTTCAGCAAAGTCTCAGGATACAAAATCAATGTGCAAAAATCACAAGCATTCTTATACACCAATAACAGACAAACAGAGAGCCAAATCAGGAATGAACTCCTATTCACAATTGCTTCAAAGAGAATAAAATACCTAGGAATCCAACTTACAAGGGATGTGAAGGACTTCTTCAAGGAGAACTACAAACCACTGCTCAATGAAATAAAAGAGGATACAAACAAATGGAAGAACATTCCATGCTCATGGGTGGGAAGAATCAATATTGTGAAAATGGCCATACTGTCCAAGGTAATTTATAGATTCAATGCCATCCCCATCAAGCTACCAATGACTTTCTTCACAGAACTGGAAAAAACTACTTTAAAGTTCATATGGAACCAAAACAGAGCCTGCATTGCCAAGTCCATCCTAAGCCAAAAGAATAAAGCTGGAGGCATCTCGCTACCTGACTTCAAACTATACTACAAAGCTACAGTAACCAAAACAGCATGGTACTGGTACCAAAACAGAGATATAGACCAATGGAACAGAACAGAGCCCTCAGAAATAATGCCACATATCTACAACTATCTAATCTTTGACAAACCTGACAAAAACAAGAAATGGGGAAAGGATTCCCTATTTAATAAATGGTGCTGGGAAAACTGACTAGCCATATGGAGAAAGCTGAAACTGGATCCCTTCCTTACACCTTATACAAAAATTAATTCAAGATGGATTAAAGACTTAAATGTTAGACCTAAAACCACAAAAACCCTAGAAGAAAACGTAGGCAATACCATTCAGGACATAGGCGTGGGCAAGGACTTCATGTCTAAAACACCAAAAGCAAGGGCAACAAAAGCCAAAATTGACAAATGGGATCTAATTAAACTAAAGAGCTTCTGCACAGCAAAAGAAACTACCATCAGAGTGAATAGGCGACCTACAGAATGGGAGAAAATTTTTGCAATCTACTCATCTGACAAAGGGCTAATATCCAGAATCTACAATGAACTCAAACAAATTTACAAGAAAAAAACAACCAACCCCATCAACAAGTGGGCGAAGGATATGAACAGACACTTCTCAAAAGAAGACATTTATGCAGCCAAAAGACACATGAAAAAATGCTCATCATCACTGGCCATCAGAGAAATGCAAATCAAAACCACAATGAGATACCATCTCACACCAGTTAGAATGGAGATCATTAAAAAGTCAGGAAACAACGGGTGCTGGAGAGGATGTGGAGAAATAGGAACACTTTTACACTGTTGGTGGGACTGTAAACTAGTTCAACCATCGTAGAAGTCAGTGTGGCGATTCCTCAGGGATCTAGAACTAGAAATGCCATTTGACCCAGCAATCCCATTACTGGGTATATACCCAAAGGATTATAAATCATGCTGCTATAAAGACACATGCACACATATGTTTATTGTGGCACTAATCACAATAGCAAAGACTTGGAACCAAGCCAAATGTCCAACAATGATAGACTGGATTAAGAAAATGTGGCACATATACACCATGGAATACTATGCAGCCATAAAAAATGATGAGTTCATGTCCTTTGTAGGTACATGGATGAAGCTGGAAACCATCATTCTCAGCAAACTATAGCAAGGACAAAAAACCAAACACTGCATGTTCTTACTCATAGGTGGGAATTGAACAATGAGAACACATGGACCCAGGAAGTAGAACATCACACACCAGGGCCTGTTTTGGGGTGGGGGCGGGGGGAGGGATAGCATTAGGAGATATACCTAATGTTAAATGACGAGTTAATGGGTGTAGCACACCAACATGGCACATGTATACATATGTAACAAACCTGCACATTGTGCACATGTACCCTAAAACTTAAAGTATAATAATAAAAAAAAATCAACTTGCCCTAAGCCTAAGAGAACTCAGTGGGTGAGCCTACACCCACACTGTGGGCCTCAAGGCCAGGCCATCCTCTTTCTGTGGACTCCATAACTTTGCTGTCTGTATTGTGTGGGAAGGTGCCTACTTCCTGCTCAGAACATTTCCAAATGCTAAGGACCCTTCAAAAGCTCATTTATTTCAGATCCTCACTTTTTCAGGCCATAAAAGCTTTTGGTATGGCGAAACCCAGTTGACTTTTGAAGGGACAAAGGTGAAGAAAATAAATCCTAGAAATGATTCTGAGCCCCGTTTGACATTGGTTCAACGATTTCCATAGTTAACATCTGAAGCTTGATTAGAATGAATTTTGAAGTGCTTTGTAAAGCATTCAAGTACTTAGTGGCTCTTGCTTAGGAATGAAGTCTGAACGCCCACAAGCAGATTGGGAGGGAGGGAAAAACATGCACTACCCTCTCTGAGCTATCCTGACATGCTGGCTGCCTTCCAGGCTACCTGATTAAATCAGGACCTAAATTTGTCACTGGCCCTTTTTCGCATCTCTGGTATAGACAGTTAATGTAAGCCCAATGCTCTGTGAATAATTTTTGTGTGAAACTTAGTGTTAGCCCATTCTATTTTCCTATCTGAATCTTGCAAATGGTGTCCTGTGATTCTAATTATTGTCAGAAGTGGGTCATGACCTAATTGTGCAGGCAAAAGAAAACTGGGAGAGGGCCAAGCAAAGGAAACAAGATTCACCTCCACGAATGACCTCTACGAAGGGCCTCACACACTTGCTACTACCAGATGCCTGCTGAAGACACAAAAAGCCAAGGAGAAATCAGAAAATAATTGAACTTATTTCTCCTCAACTGGTTTCAATTCGACATTTTTGAAATGTCATAGCTCTGCACTGATATTGAGAAGAATTCTCACCCCAGTATCATTCTAGCCACTTGAGGCCGAGAAGCTCTTTGGTCCTCAATGCCTACAGCGCTAGAGCAGGTTATATAAAAATAAAACACTCAGCTCCTGGCCTCAAGGAATATATCGTCTAGTGGAGGAAAGACAAGTAAACATATCTGTGAAACAGTGTGGTAAGTGCTATGATGGAAGTGAGCCCTGCATTGTAGGAGTGAGAAGATGGCAGCCAACCCACAATGGCATGGCCAAAGAGCAGAGAGGGAGGAAGAGAGGGAGCTGGTAGGGGAAGAACAATGAACCTCTTTATTATTTTGTGTGTGTGTTATCCAATGAGGCGTCTTTTTATTTGTTTGTTTGTTTGTTTGCGTCATTCCATATTTTCAGAAGACAGGATCAGGGAATAACTCTGTTAATGCCTCCTGGGTTTCCTATCAAAGACTAGGCCCTAAAGAAGACCTGTCTTTCCCTTAGGCATCGAGAAAAGGAAGAAGCTTGAATGAGCTGATGGCAACAGGAGTCGTTCCAAATGAGAAAAATTGTGTAAGACAGTTTATACACGTCACAAACCACCAGAGAAAAACAATGTAGAACACACAACCAGACACTACTTTCTCTAACTAAATTAACCTTATTTTGTCAAAATTTCCCGTAACCATTTTCTACGTAGCTTCTCTCCATACCCAGTGAAGTCCCTGACTCTGATGTGTCCATCTTCACAATCTCCCACCCACTCCTATCATTTTGCCTATGCTCTTGCTTGCATAACACAGTCCAGATCCTGTTTACGTCTCTCCTGGTGGTCAATAGTAACAGGCTCAGAAACTGCTCACTCCAGTGCAAACCACCAATGCTGCCAAATGAGTATTTGCAAACTATGGCTACTGCCAAATGAGTCCTCTGCTTGGTGTTTCTGCATTACCTCCATGAAAGAGCTTCTTCGACATTTGAACCCAACATCACCCTATGCAACAGCCAAACAGACATCCATGCTATTTTTCTCTCAGGGCCTGACTCAAATGCTCTTCATTTTGATTGTTGTTGCTGCTTTTAAAATTTATTTCCTAAAATTCTATAGGTACACATGGTAAATATTCAAACCGTACAAAGGATATGAAGTTAGAAAGTGTGTCTTCTTTCACCATTGAAACTCACTCATACCTCCCTGAATTTCCCAGAGGCAACAATGTATTTGGTTTCAGGGTCATTCATTGCACCTATAAGCATGAATATATATATATATATTCACACACACACACACACACATACACACACAATATGAATGCATAGATCTATCTATATATGTATATATACACACACCATATATATACACATATACATATATATGTGTGTATCTATATCAGTACATATGTATAGAATTCCCTCATCCTTCTTAGCAGCTGCATAATACTCCATTATAAAATATGTCATAATTTAATCAATACTCTACTAACAAGTTGATTAGTTCACTCTTTTGCCACTAAAAATGGTGCTAAATTATACATTCTAGCTCTAGTCAGAGAAAGCAGAGAAAGATTTTTATAATAAAGCTAATGGTGCTCAAGCTCCAGGGTCCCTCACTTATATAGGCTCATTGATATTTTTTTCTCATAACGAGGGAACAGCAAAATTATATATGGGTCAAGATACACAGAACTTAGATCAGCACCTGGATGTACTATAATTGTTCTATGACAGCAGAGTCGAAGTATATGTGTATTTTACATTTTGAATAGTGTTGCTGAATTCCAGAATCATGTCTGTAATCCATGCTGATGAAAACTCCCTTCCCTTCTTTAGAGTTTCCATGGCCTTCCATTGCCATTTCTACTAGGATATATCTCTTTAGGCCTTGTATGTTATTCAGGTACTCATCTTACCTTCTTCATGCAGTTGTAAGCACCTTGAAGTCCGCACTCAATTGTTCTGTCTCTGTATTCTACCCCGTGCCTACCAAGGTGTCTTTCTCATAGTAGACTTGTAAATATTTGTTGAGTCTGCTCGAAGTTGTTTTTGGATATGATGGATATATAGCATAATAAATCCATTAATAAAATACTTATATGGAGTGAAAAAATAGACCACTTCTACACTGCCTTAAGTACAATTTGAATTTGGATTTATCCATAAGATACCAGCTCTGCCACCTTTGCAAGTTTAATTGCTGTTCTTTCCTTCCATCATTAAAATCATGTAAAAATAGTATACAGCAGTGGCCCAAGGCCAAAGGCCTACAAAATAGTACCTAATTTGTTCTCTTCCCAAAATTTCCAGTTAATATTAAGCAACTGATAATACAGTCTAAAGATAACTTTGTGCCCAAATTTGCAAATATTAAAAATAATCAAAATCTTATTGAAGCCTAAATACACGCTGGCCACTGCTTTCTCCAGTAGAGGCAAATTTTACTTGTTAGACATAGTTAGTTCTTTACAAAAGCAGTGCCAGGTACTAAAAAGCTTTCCAATTTATGTGCAGTGTTTGCCAATCAGTTCAGAGCACTCAGCTTAAACTCATCAGAATACATAATTGTTAAAATGAATGGGATATGTAATTTCTCATTTTAAGCAATACAAAGTATAGCAATGTTGGAATCACTGCTAAAGACATAGTTTTTCCTTGATCCAAATAAAAATTCAGAGTCTCTCAGAACCCCAATTCAGCCTTATCATATATTAATCTTAGCCTTTTTGATAGTCAACTGATATTAACTTGATTCTAACTCTGCCATCCCCTCTATGCTTCCTAAAATCTCTATTTTTTTCTCTCTTATTATTCCTAGTAGTCCTCTCACTTTGATATACATCATGATCACCTGAGAAGTTAGCTAAAAACACAATTTCCCAGTCCCATCCCTACTACAGTGTCTGATCCAGTAATTTCTCAAGAATATGCTACTAAATGTATGGTCCCTGTGACATGGCCTTGACATCACCTGGAGGCTTGTTAGACACTCAGAATCTCAAGCCCCACCCCAGCCCTACTAAATTATAATCTGCAATTTTAACAACATCCTAGTAGAGTCATACACACATTAAAGTTGGAGAAGTGCTGGACTATCGCCCTCTTCCTTCCCATCTTTTTTCAGTTTGTCTCCTTGACTCCATCCCCTCTTATCTACTTAAAGACAATAGTCTTCAAATCACCTTCTCGTTTTCTTATATCTTCACTGTACCCAGTGCTTAAAATATACCAGTGAATGAGTCCAACAAAGCTCCTACCATCATGCAGTTTATGTTGTCTTTGGGAAGACAGACCACAAATAAAATCAACAAACGAAATAAAAACAGGCCATGACTGGAATAGGTTAAGAAAGAAATAAACACGGCCGGGCGCGGTGGCTCACGCCTGTAATCTCAGCACTTTGGAAGGCCGAGGTGGGCGGATCACGAGGTCAGGAGTTCGAGAGACCTGACCGTGCAGCCTGGCCAGCATGGTAAAACCCCATCTCTACTAAAAATACAAAAAAAAAAAAAAAAAAAAAATTAGCTGGGCATGGTGGCACACACCTGTAATCCCGTAATCCGAGCTACTCGGGAGGCTGAGGCAGAAGAATTGCTTGAACCCGGGAGGCGGAGGTTGCAGTGAGCAGAGATCGCGCCACTGCACTCCAGCTTGGGCAACAGTGCTAGACTCTGTCTCCAGATAAATAAATAAATACATAAATAAACACAGTAGAATAAGGTAGGTACTATTCTTATTTTACAGATAGGGAAACTAAAGTTGGAGGTCACACAATTAGTTGAGGGTCATGTAGCTGGTAAGTGGCAGAGATCCAAGTCTCTCTAATGTCAGGCCCTATGGTCTTAGTCACTCTGCTAAAAGGCCTTCATTGGAAATCCAGTTGGGATTTATCCACAGCCCCTCTCTGGTCACCTGTGAGACCTCTTCTCTTACATTCCCAGGATTTTTGAATTCTTTGCTCCCAGTTTCAGACTTTTTTGCTCTAATAAGTTTGAACATATTTCAGAAGCTCTGATCCTGGCACCACTAATACTTAGCCCATCCTGAGGCTCGTCATAGTGATAGGGAAAACAACAGTGCAAACTTTCTTTGCCACCCTAGAAGCTCCAACTACCCCCTCTTGGTTAATGAAATTAGACACTCCTGGCCATTTTGTCCATAATTTAAGAATTTCATCATCTTCTCTCTTAAAAAAGAGGAACATATCTCTCTGTATCTACAAATTACCAGTAGTTAGTGTCTTCTCATATCTTTTCCAAGAAGTAAAGCAGATAATAAAACATAAGCCCAGGGTGTAGAACAGATCTCATCTTTTCTCCCCAATCCTGAAAATGGCAACTATTCTTTTTCCAAGGTCCTAGGTTACAAAGACACTCAGTTGATACCAGTTAACATTAAACAAATATATTCCCAGAGAGCAGTGTTTAATTTTCTTATGTACTATGCTAAAATATCCACACTGAACTTTGATTCCCTGAAATGTTGATATCATTTATGTTACAACAGAAATATTCAAGTACTAGAGTATTCTAACAAATAAGTCTGATATGCTTTGTACATATTTGCTTCAAAAATATTTTATAGTTTGCCCATATGCATTTCATTTTACTATTTTATATTTTAATTTTTGTGACTACATAGTAGGTGTATATATTTATTATGCACATGAGATATTTTGATACAGGTATACAATGTGTAATAATCACATCAGGGTAAATGGGATATCCATCAAGCATTTATCCCTTGTGTTACAAATAATCTAATTATATTCCTTTAGTTAGTTTAAATGTGTAGTTAAATTATTTTTATTATAGTCATCCTGTTGTGCTATCAAATACTAGATTATATTCATTCTTTTAAACTATTTTTTTGTACCCATTAACCATTCCCACTCCCTCTCACCCGCATTCCAGCCTCTTGTAACCATCATTCTATGCTACATCTTATGAGTTTGTTTACTTTTGGCTCTCACAAATAAGTGAGAACATGTGAAGTTTGTCTTCTTATGTGTGGCTTATTTCACATAATGTAATGACCTCCAGTTCCATCCATGTTGTTGCAAATGACTGGATCTCATTCTTTTTCATAGGTGCATAGTACTCAGAATATTGTTATGTACTACATTTATTTTATTTATTTCCCATTGATGGACACTTAGGTTGCTTCCAAATCTTGCCTATTGTGCATAGTGCAGCAATATATATGGAAGTGCAGATATCGCTTTAATATACTGAATTCCTTTATTTGGAATATATACCTAGGGGTGGGATTGCTGGATCACATAGTGGCTCTATTTTTAGTTTTTTGAAGAACCTCCAAACTGTTATTTTATAGTGGTTGAACAAATTTACATTCCTACCAACAGTGTACAAGGATTCCCTTTTCTTCACATCCCCGCCAACATTTGTTATGGTCTGTCTTCTGCTTTCCACAGTGGCTGAAAAATTAATATTCCCACCGAAAGCATAGCATTCCCTTTTCTCTGCAACCTCACCAACACCTGTTATGTTTTGACTTTTAATAATAGCCACTCTTACTAGTGTCAGATAGTATGTCATTGTGGTTTTGATTTGGATTTCTCTAATGATTAGTGACATTGAGCATTTTTCATATATTTACTGGCTGCATTTATGTCTTCTTTTGAGAAGTGTCTGTTCAAGTCTTTTGCCCATTTTCTGATGGAGCTATTTGTCTTTTGTTTGTTCAATTGTTTGAGTTCCTTACAAATTCTGGATATTAGACCTTTGGTGGATGCATAATATATGAGTATTTTCTCCCTTTGTCTTTGTGTTGCCTGTTTACTCTGTTAATAGTTTCTTTTGCTATGCAGAAGCTTTTTAGTTTAATTAGATGTCACCTAATTAGATCTATTTGTTTTGTTACAATTACTTTTGGGGACTTAGTAATAAATTCTTTGCTACAGCTGATTACCAGAAGGGTATTTCCTAGGTTTTCTTCTAGGATTTTTATAGTTTTAGGTTT
The DNA here is from genome assembly GCF_000001405.40 of Homo sapiens. Lineage (NCBI taxonomy): Eukaryota > Metazoa > Chordata > Mammalia > Primates > Hominidae > Homo > Homo sapiens. The sequence goes on along the minus strand of NC_000010.11, from coordinate 50,903,420 downwards.
TATATTTAAGTCTTTAAGTATTCTTAATTTTTGTGTATGGTGAAAGGTAGAGATCCAGTTTTATTCTTCTGAATATGGCTAGCCAGCTTTCTCAGCATCATTTATTGAATAGGGAGTCATTTCCCTATTGCTTGTTATTGTCAACTTTGTTGCAGATCAGAGAGTTATAGGTGTGCAGCTTTATTTCTGAGTTCCCTATCCTATTCCATTGGTGTATGTGTCTGTTTTTGTACCAATACCTTGCTGTTTTGCAAATAACCCTATTTTCTTTATAAATTACCCAGCCTCTGGTTTTCCTTTATAGCAATACAAGTGAACAAATCCATTTCCATATCTTGGCTATTGTGAATAATTCTCCAATGGAAGTGCAGAATTTCCACTTTAATTTCTTTTGATATATACACAGAAGTGGGATTGCTGGATTACATGATAGTTCTACTTTTAATTTTTTGAGGAACCTCCATACTGTGGCTGCACCATTGGACATCCCACCACCAGTGTACAAGGATTCCTATTTCTCCACATCCTCATAAATACTTGTTTTCTTTTCTATTTTTGATAATGGTCATCTAAACAGGTGTGAAATGTTATTTCACTGTATTTTTGACTTACATATGTCCAATGATTAATGATACTGTACAACTTTTTATATACTGTTGGCTATTTGTATGTCTTCTTTGGAAAAATGTCTATTCAAGTTCTTTGCTCACTTTTAAATCATGTTTTGTTTTGCAGATTTTTTCTATTGAATTATAGAAGTTTCTTACATTTTGCATATTAACACATTACCAGACAAATTGTTTGCAGAGATTTTTTCCCGTTCTTTAGGTTGCCTTTTCACTCTAATTGTTCTTTTGTTGTACAGAAGCTTTTGGATTTGATGTGGTCTCACTTGTCGATTTTTGCTTTAGTTGCCAGTGCTTTGCTATCATATCCAAGAAATCACTGCCAAGACCAATGTCAAGAAAATTTTCCATTAGTTTTTCTTCTAAGAGTTTTATAGTTTCAGGTATTAAGTCTTCAATCCAGTTTGAGTTGATTTTGTGTATGGTAGAACATATAAGACCTATTTCATTCTTTTGCATATAGATACTCAGTTTTTCCCACAGCATTTATTGAAGAAACTATCCTTTCCCCATCACATATTCATGGCACTCTTGTCAAAGATCAGTGGATCATATACACATGAATTTACTTCTGGGCTCTCTATTCTATTTCATTTGGCTGTATGTCTTTATGCTAGTACTATACTGTTTTAATTACCATAGACTTTGTAACATAGTTTGAAATCAGGAAGTGTGATGCCTCCAGCTTTGTTCTTCAAGACAGATTTGGCTATTCACAGTCTTTTGTGGCTCGCTTGGGAAGTTTAGGATTGCTTTTTCCATTTCTATAAAAAAAATGCCATTAGGATTTTTCTGGGATATCATTGAAATCTACAGATTACTTTGAGTAGCATGGACATTTTAACATTAAGTCTTCAAAACCATGATTACAGGATGTCTTTCCATTTATTTGTGTCTTCTTCAATTTATTTCATCAATTCTTTATAGTTTTTAGTGGTTAAGTCTATTCCTATTGTTCCATTTATTATAAATTGGATTGTTTATTGATCTTTCTCACATATTTCATTGTTTGTATATAGAAATGCACATGATTTTTACATGTTAATTTTGTATTCTACAACTTTACTGAATTTGTTAATTAATTCTAATAGCTTTTTTGGTGGATTCCTTAGGCTTTTCTACATATAATATTATGTAATCTGCAGATAGACACAAAATATATTATATTTTGTGCAGATAATTACCAGAAATTTTGATGCTTATTGAATCTAGTAATCGGAAGAGATTTAGGTTTCAACAAAAGTGATAAACTTTAAAAATGTGCCTTGACACTATTAGTTTAAACAAAAAGAGAGAAAACCATCGTAGTGGACACTATGAGGTTGCCTTTCAACATTCTTTCCATCCTCTTCCCTTTGTGTGCCAGCCCATGTAGTTTTCAAATTGTATACTGATTAATCTTAATCATTATATTGTCATCCCCTCTTGCCAATAATTAAAGAAACGAGATGTAAGCCAAGCAGCTTACAGCTTTTTCCTACAGACAGAGGTTATAGGAGAATGGACCCATGAAGATCTCTGTCTTCCTCTGGACCTCTGTATAAGGATGCGAGGCCTGAACCAACCTAAGCATGAGGCTGACACATTAAACCAAGAGCATTGGATGGAAGATGAAGCCAGAAGCTCTATAGCAAAACCAAAGCCTGTGCTACTTGAGGACCTGCAGCTACCATATTTTATCAAATCTAATACACTACAAGGGTAAGATACCCCTTTATGCACCAGTAAGACAAGAAAAACACTGCCCCATGACATAATGCTTTCTTATCCCTTAGATTTTTAAAAAAACTTTCTTGCTGAAATAGCTTCTTTAGATTTATTTGGATATAGATTTTCATTACATATGCTTTCATACATAATAATAAGGAGCAGATGGAAAACAAATTTAAGGTCATCGCAAAACTTCTCACACTCAGTCTGGCTCTCCTTAGGTCTAGGTTTCTCCACATACTTTCCCTCCCTGTGCCATCAAGATGGTTGAATACACATTTTTAAAAAGAATCACACACTGCTATCTTCAGGACTTTGTTCCAAACCAGTGATAACTAATCCTTCAAATATTGATGTGCATGCCCAAGTAATAACATCATTATATTCACTATTTGGCCGATAGTGATTATAAG